>NC_000006.12:6120606-6272121 GCF_000001405.40 Homo sapiens
TGGCTGTGCTGTGGGCCTGCCACTACAGAGTGCAGAGTCCGTCTTAACTGGAACAGCATAGGCAGGTAGCTGTGGGGAGTGCAGTTTGCTTACTCCTCACTTTGCCATGCCCCCAGCCCCCACAAGCAGCCCATAACAGTGGCAATGGGATTTGTCTTCAAAGAATGTGAAAGGGCCTGGCTTCTCCCTCTCTCTTTAGACCAGCAGCAGCAGGAACAATATTGTCACTGGCTGCAGGGCAGGATGCAGACTTTTGGAAGCTAGGCCTTCAGAATCATGACAGATGAAGACTTACCACCAGGGAGAATAGAGTCCCTCTCAGCTGGAGCAGTGTAGGCAGATAGCTGTGACAAGTGCAGTTTGCTCATACCTTGGTCCCTGATATAGTTTTGATATTTGTTCCCTCCAAATTTTATGTTGAAATGTGATCCTCAAAGTTGGAACTGGGGCCTAGTGGGAGGTATTTGGATCATGGGGTCAGATCCCTCATTAATGGTTTGGTGCTGTCCCAGTAGTAATGAATGAGTTCTTACTCTATTAGTACTGTGAGATCTGGTTGTTAAAGTGTATGGTGACCCCCTCCACTCTCTCTGTCTCTCACCATGTGATTCATCTGCTCCCACTCCACTTTCTGCCATGAGTGAAAGTTTCCTTAGGCCTCATCAAAAGCTGAGCAGATGCTGGTGGCATGTTTGTACAGCCTGCAGAACTGAGAGCCAGATAAAAGATATTTTATTTCTTTTTTATTACTTCTTCAAGATAAAAAGATATTTATTTTCTTAAATAAATTAACCAGTCTGAAATATTTCTTTATACCAATGTAAAATGAACTAATAGAGAAAATTGGAACTAAGAAGGAGGGGAGCATTGCTATAAAGATACCCAAATATGTAGAAGTAATGGCAGTGGCTGCCTGTCTGGAGTGGCTGCTGTGAAGATGCCAGCTGCAGTGGGGGAGGCACAGCTGGGGTTGTGCGCTCCATGGGGCTGGTGTGGGCCCCACCCCCTACCAAGTTGGCAGAGTAGGAGGCCCATGCTCGTGGGTGCAGCTGCAGCCACCCAGCTGTGGCTCCGTACCTGGGCTTCCCTGTGGTCTTGGGGCCCAGGAAGACCCCCTGCCCTTGCAGGTTTGGTAGTGCTTGCTCCCACTTCCTTGCTTTTCCCTACTCCTGGCACTAGCTCTGGTGCAGAGCAAAGTTGCAGCCAAGCCCAGCTCTGGTGCAGACCAAAGTTGCAGCACTATTGTGACCTGGCCAGATGTGTGTGTACTCAGGGTGGTGCTGATACACCAGCCCCTTGCTGCCTCAGCTCCCTCCAGACTTTGGGCACTGAGGAGCACAGGAGGGAGGCTGGGGGGGCACTGAGGTGACTTGGCACAGGACTGCAGGTGCCTCTCAGCACAAACAGCCTGGGTGTAGGGGATGGCATATTGATGGCAGCAGGAAGCAAACAGTTTCCTGGGCAGGAAGGGAGAGTCCCCAGTGAAGCCCCACCTTCAAGCCATGGATGGCCTATAGCCTGGGGGCCAGACTGCCAGTTCTGGGTGGAGTCTGCTGCCTGGAGTGAGAACTTATGGTGCTTTATCCTGGTCCTCCCATGGCCACACATGGACCAATTGGCATGCACTTTCTCCCTTCTGATTCCATAAAAACCTGAGATTCAGCCAGACTCACACAAACATGAAGACTACCAGCTGTGGGAAGGAGCTACCCACTTCAGGTATCCTCCGCTTGTGGGGACGACCTGCCTGTGCAAAGGAGCTACCCACTGTGGGTCTCCTCTCTGCTGAGAGCTGGACACTCAGCCTGTGGAAATGAGCTACCCACTGTGGGTCTCCTCTTCACTGACGGCTGTACTCATCAGGATGACCTGCCTACAGAAAGGAGCTATCCACTTTGGGTCCTGAGAGCTATTCTGTTGCTCAATGAACTCCTCTTTGCCTTGCTCACCATCCAGTTTTCTGCATACCTCATTCTTCCTGGACACAGGGCAAGAACTCGGGACTCACCCAATGGCAGGTCTGAAAGAGCTATAACACAAGCAGGGCTGAAACATGGCCCCCCACCCCTGCACTTACCATGTTGAGGACAACAAAGAGAGGACAGCTGTGGCCCTTCAGGGAACCCACACATAGGGTTTCCCCTAGCCATTGCTATGATACTCTCTTTGGGGCTTTGCAGTTCCTGAGGTCTCCAAGCTTTTGGGCACCACCACGTTCCCCTTGTCCAGACACTGGTGCCTGCAGCAGAAGCCACTTTTGGTATGTCTGGTATAGCCACAGACTTGCATGAAGCCCATGCTTGTGCTGGCACTTGGAGCTGCCCGCCCCACTGCAGCAGCCAGCATACCTGGCTGTGTGCAGTGGCTGGACACCATGCTTGCTTCCTCCCCCTCACCACTCTGCACCTGACTCTCCCTTGGTAGGTGTGGGATCTGGGCTGGTAGTGCAGTTCGAGTTCAGCCTGCTGGGCTGAGTGGACAGAACGAGCCCAGTGGGTGTGAGCAATTAATTCTCAGGCAGAAGGCACCACCATACACAGAAGTTTCTGGCTGGCACTGTGACACCCCAAGGATCATGTGACCAAAGCAGCTTTGGAACTGGGTAACAGGCAGAGATTGGAAGAGTTTGGAGGGCTCAGAAGAAGTCAGAAAGATGAGGACAATTTTGGAACTTCTTAGAGACTGGTTAAATGTTTGTGACTGAAAGACTGATAGAAACATAGACAGTGAAGGCCAGGCTTATGAGGTCTCCGATGGAAATGAGGTTCCTCATTTCATTATTGGGAAACAGAGTGAAGGTCACTTGTGTTATGCCTTAGCAAAAAGCTAGGATACATTATGTCCATTCCATAGGGATCTGTGGAAGGTTGAACCTAGAATGACCTAGGGTATCTGGCAGAAGAAATTTCAAAACAGCAAAGTATTCAAGAAGTGGCATGGCTGCTTCTAACCTACAATTAGATGTGGGAACAAAGGAATGATTTAAAGTTGGAACTTATAGTTAAAAGAAAGCAAAGTGTAAAAATTTGGAAAATCCTCAGTCTGGCCATGTGGTAGAGAAAGAGCATTTTCAGGAAAAGAATCCAAGAGGGCTCCAACCACTTTCTAGTGAGATTAGCATGACTAAAGAGGAGCCAAGTGCTAATAGCCAAGAAAATGGAAAAAAAAAAAAAAAAACCTCAAAAGAATTTCATAAATCTCTGGGGAAGTCCCCTCCCATCACAGGTGCAGAGGCCTAGGAGGAAAGAATGGATTCAGGGGCCATGCCTGAGTCCTCAGTGTCCTGTGCAGCCTTGGGACACTAGCCATAAGCTTTGGTGACGTCCACATGGTGTTAAGTCTGCATGTATGCAGAATGCAAGAGTGAAGAAGGCTTGGTGGCTTCCACCCAGATTTCAGAGGATGCATGGGAAAGCCTGGGTTTCCAGGCAGCAGACGGCTGCAGGGGTGGAGCCCCACAGACAGCCTCTCTACTTGGACAGTGCCGATGGGGAATTGTAGGGCTGGAGCCCCAACACAGAGTTTCCACCAGGGCACTGCCTAGTGGAGCTGTGGGAATGGGGTCACTGTGCTTCAGACACCAGAGTGGTGTAGGCACTGGCAGCTTGCACTTTGAGACTGGAAAAGCCAAAGACATTGGACTCCAACCTGTGAGAGCAGCCATGGGGGCTGCACCCAACAAAGCTACAGGGGCAGATCTTCCCAAGGTTTTGGGAGCCCACCCAACATACCAGTGTGCCCATGATGCAGAACATGGAGTCAAGGGTGATTATTTTGGAGCTTTACAGTTTAATGTCTGTTCTGCTGGGTTTCAAACTTGCATGGAGCCTGTAACCCCTTTCTTTTGGCCAATTTCTCCTCTTTGTAATGAGAATGTTTACCCAATGCCTGTACCACCATTGTATCTTGGAAGAAAATAACTTCTATTTGATTTCATGGCTCACAGCTGTAAGAAACTTGCCTTGAGTCTCAGATGTCACTTTGGACTTTGAATTTTTGTTAATGATGGAACAAGTTATGACTTTTGGGGACTATTGGGAAGGGATAATTTCATATTGTTATGTGTGGAGGACATGAGATTTGGAGGGGGAACAGAGGCAGAATAATATGGATTGGATATTTGTCTCCTCCAAATCTCATGTTGAAATGTGATCCCCAATGTTGGAGGTGGGGCCTAGTGAGAGATGTTTGGTTCATGGGGATGGATCCCTCATAAATGACTTGGTGCTGTCCCAGCACTAATGAGTGAGTTGTCACTCTATTAGTTACCATGAGATCTGGTTGTGAAAAATGTCTGAAACCTCATCCTCTATCTCTTGCATGCTCTCTCACCATGTGACACACCTGCTCACCCTTCACCTTCTGTCATCAGTAAAAGCTCCTTGAGGCCTCACCAGAAGCCAAGCAGTAATGAGTGAGTTTTCACTCCGTCAGTTACCACAAAATCTGGTTGTGAAAAATAGTCTGAAACCCCTTCCTCTCTATCTCTTGCATCCTCTCTCACCATGTGACACACCTGCTTCCCTTTCACCTTCTGTCATGAGTAAAAGCTCTTTGAGGCCTCACCAGAAGCCAAGCAGATGTTGGTGCCATGCTTATATAGCCTGCAGAACTGTGAGCCAAATAAACCTCTTTTCTTTATGAATTATCCAGTGTCAAGTGTTCCTTTATAGCGATTCAAAATGGACAAATACAATCCCACAGTGGCCCATAGCAGCAGCAGTGGGATTTGTCATAGGGGTGCATGGTAGTGCCTGGCTTCCTCCCTCCCTTCTTGGCCTGGTGGAAGCAGCAGCAATGATGGCATTGGTCCCAGGGCAGGACATATTCCTTTGGGAGCTTGGCTCCTAGAATGGCACCAAGCTGTAGCAACTCAGGTTTTGGATGCCTGTGGGACTCTGTGTGAGTATCCTCTCTGGAGCAATGCCTCTGTGCAATCTCTAGAAAACTCCCTATGTTAGTCTCGAACCCACATGGATTGAAGGATTCTCCTGTAGCTAAGATTTTAAAAGACCATGGCAGCACTGGGGAGCCCTGGAAGTCTCCCTCTTATCCTATACCATGTCTGGGAGCTTCTCTTGGCTCCCTGCCAACCCTAGCCAAGCAGGAGGTCTTGCTTCCCTCTCCTTACTAGCTGTCGGTGCTTCCCTTCACTTCTGTGTTGAATCCCAGTGTCTCTCCTAGACAATCTATTTTAAGTGTGAATATCTACTTGCTATTTTGGTTCCTCTCTGTGGAGGAGTGTACTAGCTGCATCTAGTCAGCCATCTTGAATCTTCCCCCGCTTTTGTAAAGTGTTTCTTAATTTAGGTTTCCCTGATGTTTCTTTATGATTCTGTTCAGGTTATGCTTCTGTGGCAGGAATATCACAGGAGCATTGTTGTTCTCTTCTCATTGCATTAGATTAGGTGACACATGATTTGGATTTGTCCTATTATCGGTGATGTTAACTTTGATCATTTGATCAAGGTGATATCTGCCAGGTTTCTGCACTGTTAAGTTACTGTTTTCTCTTTTGCAATTAATATATGTTTTGTGGGGAAATTTTTCAAGACTGTTTAAAATATCCCCGTTGTCATAAAACTTTCACACACTAGTTTTAGCATCCATTGGTGTTTCTTGACTAAGTTAATTATTACTGTGATGAATGCTAAATTGTTATTTTCTAATTCAATTTTTCTTCTATATTTATTACTTGATATAAGGCAAACACTTCTATCTATTTGTGTATGTATGTATGTATGTATGTATGTATGTAGATATATATTTATAGTACCAAGGACTCCTAGCTTACTCAATGAGTTCCAATCTATTACTATCATTATTATTAGATGCCGAAACTGTGTCAGGTCTTTCGTCATGTTCCTATTATTCTTTGAGCACTTCATCACTTTCTGCCTTAAAATAATCCAGGCTCATCTTGTATTTTCCCTGCCCTGCCTTGGAATTAGTCTTTTCTCCAAGGAGTCTTGGTATTTTTCTCTGGGAAATGCATTTAGAATCCACAGTGCATTTAAGGTGTGCTCTTAGCTATTGGGTGTCAGTAACAGCCGACTTAGTGGGGGAATTAGGTACAGAGGTGCGTACATAAATACATACATTTAGATTTATTTTCATATCTATCTATATATAGAAAGTTGTGAGTTCACATCAATATTTCCAATTTCAGTTCAGTACTACAGAGATCATTCTTGTTTTTTCTCTTTTCCTATTTGTAACTATCTTCAATATATTTACTTACCAGTCACCAGTACTGGCTCCCACTTCCCCCACTGCAAAGACACTTTCCTCTCCTAGCTTGGGCTCTAATACCCAGTCCTGGGCCACCACCAGCATGTGATGGGGATGCCTTTCTTTCTTGTCTTGCTACTTTCACACCCACATCATGCCCCCCTCCCCCACCTAGCATGGCTCCATTGGCCTGTGCCCAGGCTGCAGATTTCACCACCCTCCCATTATATGGACACCCTCTTCACTTTGCTCTGTCTCCAACAATCTGTGTTGGGCTGATGCTAGTCCCTTGTAAAAGCCCCTCCTCATATGGCTTGTGTGCTGATACTATTTTCCAGGGCTGCTTCCATCATACCATCCCATAGGAACCTCTTCCTCTGCTGTTGAGGTTCTGACAGCCCATGTTGTACTGTGACCATCCCTCACATGGGGTACCTGGTTCATCTTGCCTGGGCTTCAATGCCCATGCTAGGTTTCTGTTCAACCCAATCCTCCACCCCACTTAGCACCACTTAATGATATTTTCCTTGAATCATTCCAGAAGAAAATACAATTTGAAGTAGAAGATAAACAGCAAGGCAGAAAGAAATGCTTGAAGAACACTTTCACATTTTGAAACTTCTGCATTTCCTTTCTTTCAGTTTACATTTTGGCTCCTACTAGGATTCTTACTTTCAGTCACATTTGAATTGTAGTAAAATGTAGAATTTTTGAATAAAACTCAAAATTTATCTGACATTAAGGCATAAGAAAGAGCAATTCAAATGCATTTTAAAATTACTGCTATGTTATACTTAGTTGTATAATTGCATAATAAAATTACTATTATATCATACATTTGACTTATTGATGAATATGTATAGGAGTTTGTCACTGGAACATTTGTTTTTTCAGCCTGTTTCACTGCATCAGTAGGAAGTTTCATAATATTTCACCTGGAACTACCAGACTTTATTTGGATTCGGTGCATCAAGCTGCTAAGATGTGATACGTTGGGATGCATATGCAAGCTCACATGCTAATGTAATTGCTTGTGTGCTTAAATGCAAGATTTTTCATAATTTTATTTTATGTTATTCCCATAAAACAGTCACATAATGTGTTTAAAACTATATATGCCGTATTATTCAGTAGAGTTCTTTCATTTTGACTTGGTATTGACAAGAACTGAATCCTTAGTTTGCAAGCTTACACAGACTAGCTTCAAGCTCTCTACATTTTATACCTTGTTTCTTCTATATACATCCAGTGCTGGGCACCATAGGTCACATTCACCTGTACCATAGTAGATCTTTGGCCCTACACGTTTGTAAATAAGAGATGGCAGTATTCCTGGAAGTCATCCTTAGGGTGAGGTAGCTAGCAGTAACCTCACTATACACCACAGAGGTGATGAACCACATAAGTATATTCAACTAAATATAAAGTGAATCTATCCCCAGTATATCCTTCCCTTATCTGGATCCCCAAAATGCCTGTGTATAGTCTAATGCCATCTAATACAAAGAGAAGTAGGCTGGGGGAAAACTGATAATTTAACTGATTATGGTGAAACTGTTTTCCTTTTGCAGAATTAAAAAATAGCTATGACCATGTCAAAACAATGCCAGGGCTCCTTCAGAGCTTTAGAAGGGCACAGTGCAAGTGAGTGGCCCTGGAGCATGAGCTTGTTAGTGTCATGGCTCATCTTCCTGAGCAACAGCTGAAGTGGGGTCTCTGTTACTGCACACATCTTTGGAGCCTTGGAGTGCGTTTGACCCTTGTCTTATACGTCTTGGGCCCTGTGATTTTGTGATACCCTGAAACTCAGACCTTAAACAGTTTTCATTCTCAGTAAGTCCGTAGATTTTGGGAGAAATGCAAAGAAATAGTAAAAACTAAAAAGGTATGCTTTTAGTTTGGTGTAAAGGAGCATTTAAGCAGTCTTTCCAACATGGATTATGAATCTCTCCAATAAGTGAAAATGAAATTAAATTCAACTTACATTTACTTGAGAACTTACTACAAGTAAAGCATTATATAGATGATATGGAAAAACATAGAAGTTAGACAAATCATATGGATTAGCTAATCTTATCTAAATGGCCTTATAAAATGGTTCATTAAACCTGGCTTAGGTGATTAAATAAGAAAAATAATTTATTTTTCAAATCAGGAAGTATAACTTTGAATTTGTAACCCTTGGTATCTAATGGCAGTCTATCTTCTTGAGATGAATATTAACCAAAGAGCAGATAATAAATTGGCATTTTAAGACTAGAGTGATTCTGTGTTTCAACAACCAACATGCAGCGGAATAGTCAGTGTGGGTTTATAAAGTAAACTGCTTACACCATCAAAAGATCATGAATCATCAAAAAGCAGAGTTTTGTTATTCAACTTTATATAGCTTTTTACTCACCTTTTCTGTGTCTTTCCTTTCCCTCTAAATATAGGAAATACATGTGAAAGTGATAGAATTAAAGCGAAATTATCATAAAAGTCAATGAAAATAGGTCTTGATAAAAATGACTGCATGTTGAGGGAGACAGAGAGAGAGAGGGAGAGGCTATTGTCTTTAAGGTCTCTTTGAAAATTTTTTATTTTTAATTTTTGTGGGTACATAGTAGGTGTATATATTTGCGGGTTACATGAGATATTTGATACAGGCATGCAAATCATAATAATCTTATTGGGATAAATAGAGTATCCATCACCTCAAGCATTTATTCTTTGTGTTTCAAACAATCCAACTATATTCTTTTAGCTATTTTAAAATGCACAATTAAATTCTGTTTTACTATAGTTGCCCTATTATGCTATCAAACTAGGTCTTATTCATTCTTTCTATTTTTTTTTTGTACTCATTAGCCATCCTTTCTCCTGCCCCTTCTCCCTGACTACCCTTCCCAACCTCTGGTAACCATCCTTCTATTCTCTATCTCCATCAGTTCTAATGGTTTTAACTTTTAGCACCCACAGATAAGTAAGAACATGTGATGTTTGTCTTTCTGTGCCTGGTTTATTTCACTTAACATAATGACCTCCAGTTCCGTATATGTTGTTACAAGTGACTGAATCTCATTCCTTTTTACTCCATTGTGTATATGTTCTATATTTTCTTTATCTGTCAGTTGATGGACACTTAGGTAGCTTCTGAATCTTGGTGATTGTAAGCAGTGCTGCAATGAACATGAGAGTGCAGATATCTCTTTGATATACTGATTTCCTTTCTTTGGGGTATATACCTAGGAGTGGAATTGCTGGATCATATGGTAGCTCTATTTTTAGTTTTTCTGAGGAACCTCTAAACTGTACTCCACAGTGGTTGTACTAATTTACATTCCCGCCTGTGGTACAAGGGTTCCCTTTCCTCCACATCCTTGTTAGCTTTTGTTATTGCCTGTTTTGTGGAAATAAGCTATTTTAACTGGGGTGAGATGATACCTCATTGTAGCTTTGGTTTGCATTTCTTTGATGATCACTGATGTTGAGCATCTTTTCATGTATCTGCCATTTGTATATCATCTTTTGAGAAATGCCTATTCAGATCTTTTTGCCCATTTTTAAATCAGATTATTATATTTTTTTCTTACAGAGTCAATTGAGCTCCTTATATATTCTGGTTATTAGTCCCTTGTTAGATGGGTAGTTTGCAAATATTTTCTCCCATTCTGTGTGTTGTCTCTTCACTTTGTTGATTGTTTCTTTTGCTGTGCAGAAGCTTTTTAACTCAATGTGATCCCATTTGTCCATTTTTGCTTTGGTTGCCTGTGCCTGTGGAACTATTGCTTAAGAAGTCTTTGCCCATTCCAATGTCCTGGAGAGTATCTTAAGCCTCTTAAAATCCAAATCTAGAACGCTTTTGGTGAGCTCTATATTTGATATTGCTTTTGTTCTCAGCACTGCCCAGAATTTTTTTTTTTTTTTGAGGTGGAATCTCTTTATGTTGCCTAGGCTGGTCTTGAACTCCTGGCTCAAGTGATCTTCCTGCCTCAGCCTCCCAAGTATCTGGGATGACATGTGCATGCCACCACATTTGGCTACCCAGATTTAATTTGGGTCCATTTATAGATCAGCCAGAGCCAGACTGCATCTGCTTTTATTGTCCTTTCCTGGAATTATAAAATCTAACATTCTTCACATGCACATGCAAATGAGCCAAAGTAAAGAGGAGATGTGCAGGGGAGGCAAAGATGCTGAGAACCCTCTCTGAGGTACAGTAGAAGGTGGGGAGGGAGCTACTGCAAATCTGAGAAGTCTGTGAAAAGAGATAGCATTGAGTGTGCCAGGCCAGCTAGTCTGCAGAGAGCCACCTTACCAGTTCCCAGTCCCTTCAGCCCCTCACACTCTTTCTTAGGACTTAGTGCCAATGCATTTAATATAAGGAGATATGGGTGTTGGTACTAGTCTTCTGAAACATAAGAAATTAATTTTTTTAGTTGCATCATTTCTTTTAATTCAGATTTTGCAGAGACCGGAGTTCTTATGCATGTAAAGTACTAAGTATTTGGAAATAATAAACATCCATCTTTCATTCTAATTAAGACATGTGTATATCTGGTTTTATTACAGTCTTTCTCTTTCCCAGAAAACTACTTCAGGGGAGGCAGAGACAGATACAAGAAGAAATCTGAACATGTACTCTTTCTGAGCAGTGCTGATATTTCCTGGGCTCTGCGAAGATGGAGGGCACAGAAAGTGGTAATTAGATCAGCAGCCTTTAATGCCTTATTCTTTATGCCTAATGCATAATGTCAGAACAGACAATCCTAATTTTCTACGACCTTAAGTAGGATTATAGACTATGTGGGCTGAACCTTCCGCCCAAGAACCCAACTCAGCTCTGCACTAGAGAAGACTCTTTACCGCCTCCTGGTGGATAAAGTAAGAGAAACATGTTTCCCTAGGGCCAAGGCCAGAGAATCAGTTCATTGGTTAAGTGCTTTTTTTTTTTTTTTTTTTCCAGAGGGGAGAAAAAAGGTGTAGCAATATTAATTGGATGTGGAGCTGTAAAGTAGGCAACATTTTGATACCTCCTTTAATCAAAGGCACTGTCTCTCTACTACATATTGTCATCCCCTGTTGGGCCTAGATACTTCATTGTGGTATTCATTCTGGCCCACTCTTCCTACTTAGGAGGTCTTAACACTTCCCATGATTCAAGAGGAGCTCCTGTCTCAGCTAACTTTGATGGAGGGGGAGCCTCCAACTGGTTGCACATCCTTTAGCTGTTTTGCTCCTGACAGCATTTCCTCCCAGCCTTGACTTCTCATTTCCAGCTATTTGAAATCTTGTTAAATTCTAGATAGTGGTTAGCTAGGAATGGGTCTATGCAACATTGAGTACGCCATGTTTTTCCATACATTTATGCTTCCAATACATACGCAGTGTTTCTTGAAAATTCAACCTCCTCCAACCAACTGATACAATTAACAGTCATTTCTGGAGCCTGGATTATTATTAATTGCTCAGTCCTCAACATCACTTTGCTTCTAGGCCTTTATTTTTCCTGCTTTTACTGACTTCCCATGGTTGTTAATTGAAAGGCAATTATTATTTAAAATTACGCATCAGGTGTTGTGGGAAAAAGTCTGGGAATCCAGCTAATAAGTTGAGAAGTCTGTCTTTCTTTTTGTTACATCTGGCGTATTTCATTATTGGTACTCCAAAAGCATATTGTCTTTATCTGATAAAAACAGTTGGCTACAAGGGCATACTGACGAGCCTCAAGTTGCGGGTTAAATTCTCACCTGGGTAAGGTAACAAAATGCTTGTTTGTGGACACACACTGTGAACAAGACCCGCAATAGCCATCGTGATCACAGGAAAGACTGAATGACACAGTGCATGTTTCAGCTCAGATTGTTGATGGGAAAATGTTAGGTGTTATATCAAATAAAGACCCATTTAATAATAGCTTCTTAGAGTTGGAAGTGACTTTAGTAACTCTCTTTTCCATTCTCTTGTCCAGTTTAGCAACCCTCATGAAACCATTCCCATCAGAGAAGGTGAGTCTTAGCGTCTGCTTGGGCACTGCCAGAGTTGGGGATTACCTCCTTGAGTGGCTGGAAACTGCATTTGTGGGAAGGTCAGCTCATGGTGCTTGGTTTTGAGATAGAAAATGAAAGTTCAACTTCTCTCTTTTTCTGTATATTTATCTCTAAATTTTTAAAACCTGGCCTCATCCCTGAACTCCAATCCCAGTAACAAAAGGAGCTCTGAGTGACAGAATCTTTCCTGCAGAGTTGTTTAAAGCTACTTTGGTGGTAGTATGGGAAAGAGAAAAGGACTGTTTCTGATTTTCTGATTATTGTCTTCTGCACGGGAAAATGGGAGGTAGGCTGCTGGGAAACTTGGTTAGGATAATTCAGGTTAGGATGATTTATTTCCAGAGGGGAGCAGATAGACAATGGGATATGTTCAAATGAGCTATGCTCAATAGTGAAGTTCTGATTCTCATTTTATCTTGACATCTGTTGTCTTTGATATTATTTGGGCTTGTATGCTGAGGACCCAGTATGGTGAAAAAGGAAACAAAATGCCTGAAGAAAAAGGGCTTTGGCATTTTGGGAGCATAAAAAAATTATTGAATGGGGGTAACCAATAACAGGAAGAGCCTGAACTATGGAGTACCAGGGAGAGTAACAGTTTTTCCCTACTCCATTAGATGACCATTAGGATAATTCATTCATTCAATACATGCTTATTCTGTACCAGGTAGCAATGTATACACCAGAACTGCAGAGCTCCTATAAAAAGTGGATGCTTGCCTAGATAGGCTCTGTTTTAGTCATTTGGGACTGTAGTCATTATTGGCAAAGGAAATCATCATGATGGGTCAGCCAGATACTACAATTCCTTTCAACCTTTGGTAGAAATTGTCAGGGAAGCCATGCCAGGCCACAACAGAGGTAAAAGAGATAATCAACTTTAGGCATAGAGGGTATGATTTTCCATGTGTTAACATGTGGTCTGCCATCCAATCTCTGTTTTATTTACTTATTTTTATGCACACTGAAGCAAATTCCAATTGATATGGGCAAATATTACTAATGAAGAGTGTTGGTTTTCCAAGTCCTTTTCCAAACTCTATCTATAATGTGCTACTAAAGTGAGAACAGCAGTGCCTCCCTCTCTGGCATCCAGACATTGTTTTTTGAGCTAGGGAACTTAAGCCTTTGACTAGGAGGTCAAAGCAGCTCAGTTGAGTCTGGTCAGATGGTGTCCTGTCAGGAAGTAAATCTGGAAGCTTGATGTTAAAGAGGGAAAAGCCCCAAGAAAATGAAATAGGACTCAATACATATTCATGGACAGCTTCTTCAGCCAAGGAAGAAGAACAATATGAAACAAATTAAAAAAAATTTGTATAGCCAGACCCTGTGGCTTTATCTTGGCAATTCTAAGAATAATTTTCTTCTGTTACTGTTATTGAAGCATAACTAAGATGGTCCCCAATGATCCCTGCCTCCTAATATCCATGTCCTTGTATAGTTCCCAACCTTTGACTGTGGGCTGGACTCACTGACTCACTTTTAGTACATGGAATACAACAAAAATGATGGGCTGTCACTTCTGAGATTAGGCTACAAAAAGATTTTGGCTTCTCTCTTGCCTGCCCTATCTTGCTCTCTTGATTTCTCACCATGATGAAGCCAAATGTCAAGTTGTGAGTTGCCCTGGAGAGATACTCGCATGACAAAAAACTAAGAGTGACCTCCCACCAGCAGCTAGCAAAGAACCAAGGCCCTCAGTCTACCAGTCTGTGTGGAACCTGTGAACAAGCTTGAAAGCAGATCATGTCCCACTCAATCCTTCAGATAAGACTACATCTCTGGCTAGCTGATGGCAGCCTGGTGAGCAAACATGAGCCAGAGGACCCAGCTAAGTCATGCCTGGATTCCTGACCTACAAAATTATGAGCTATAAATATTGTTTCAAGCAGCTAAGTTTTGGGGTAATATGTCACAAGAGCAATAAATAATGAATATAATAATAAATGTGTATTTCTTTTCCTTTTTCTTTGAGATGGAGTCTCACTCTGTTGCCCAGGCTGGAGTGCAGTGGCACGATATCAGCTCACTGCAACCTCTGCCTCGTGGGTTCAGGCAATTCTCCTGCCTCAGTTTCTTGAGCAGCTGGGATTACAGGCACATACTACCACGCCTGGCCAATTTTTGTATTTTTAGTAGAGACGGGGTTGCACTGTGTTGGCCAGGCTGGTCTAGAACTCCTGACCTCAGGTAATCCCCCCGACTTGGCCTCCCAACATGCTGAGATTATGGGCGTGAGCCACCGCACCCAGCCTAAATGTCTATTTCAATGAAGTTTTACAACACCCAGATCAAGAAATGGAATACTTCTGGTTTCCCAGAAGCTCTCTTGTGTCCCTTGAGTCCCTCTTCCAAGGGTAACCACCATCCTGACTTCTAACCTATAGATGAGTTTTGCCTATTTTTGAATTCTAAATAAATAGAATCATGTTATGACATGTACTATTTAGTGTCTGGTTTCTTTATTTCAACGTTAGGCTGCAGTTCTTTCATCTTGTAATATTTTATATAGTATTGTATTTTATGGAGCTATTTATCTTATTATATATTTTTAGTATTCTCATTGCTGTGTTACAATTAATTGTAAATATGCCACGGTTTATTTGTCCATTCTATTTTAGCATATTTCTATTGGAAATATGCCTGGGAGTAAGATTACTGGGTCATAGCATTTGTTCAGATTTAGCAGATAATGCTAAATAGATTGCCAAAGGGGTTGCACCAATTTACACTTTACCAGCAGTGTCTGAGACCAACTTTTATTTCACTATGTCAGCAGGCTTCTTTGCTGCCTCTCAGTTTAGCACAAGACAAATTATCCCATGGTATTTTAAAAGCATACTTTATTGGTAATACTACTACTAATAATAAGAAGAATAACAGTGATCATAATCTTTTGGATATCTAATTGCCTGATATGTTAATTTTCAAAAAGCAAGATACAGTCAGTACTTCATTATATTTTATATTTTATCTGTATTTAGAATGCATGGATACCATGGTTATCTTTAAATTAGACTTTTAGGAGATACCCAGGATTAAAGAAAAGAAATGGTAGAAGTAGAATGCTTTTATATTTAGATGATTTAAACGAACTTGGGCTTTTCTCTTTTTTTAAGCTTAACTTTCCCAGTTAATAGCCTTCATTTTCTGGTTAGTATTGCTAGTTGAAGATATCACTGAAGCCTATTGTTTTTCATCAGAGAGACAGGTTTTATTGTATTATATCTATTTTTCAATTTTGCATCAGTAATAATATTTTGTTGATCTATATGAGTTTTTAGCATTGTGTACTCAATAAAGATAATTGGAATATTACTGAAGATACCCAGCATTTCGTTTTAATGATAAGCATAAAAGGCAGATTCCTTTATTTGAGCCATAATTTTTGAATTCATGGTTATAGCCAAGACGACAGAATCATATGAGCTTAGCCTGTGTCTATAATAAAAGTAATGTATATAAAAGCAAATTTGGAAGTAGCAGGCCAATACATGGGTGCTTCAGCCTCGATAGGCTTGGTTTGGATAGGGAGATGCTTAATGGTTGTGTTTACTTGTCACCTGAAAGTCCCTGGAAAATAGAGATGTTCAAATTTGAGGTGTGGGTAACATTAGCCATATGGGCCTACCACCTGAAACTGTAAAGAAACAGTGAATAATAAAATGTCATCAAAAGTAGGAGAATAAGAATGTCATTGTGGCAGGAAAACATTCAAAAACCACATTAAATGCTATGGTTCACAATAGAAGGACATCCTCTATGAAGTTTAGGAATCTTTCTTCTGAGGAAAAAGAAATGGAATGGCAAATCAGATGCCCTTCCCCTTCCTGAGGGCTGTGTCATACCGATTGATGGGAAAGAACAATGAAGATTTACCAGAGAGAAGCACTCCCAGTGTATTCTGTCAGGGACCTCAGGAGACCACCTAGACTTGGGCCTTCCGTGGGTCTTGGGCAGTGCGTGCTCTGATGAAAGGGTTTACACAAAAACATGGGGTCTCAGCTGTGGCATAAATTGTCCTTGTAGAAAGAGTCTGGGCAGGAGAATGGCTGGTCATTGTGACCTCCGGTGAGGGCTGAGGACAAATTGCTAGAAGGCAAGATGGATCTCGGGTCACTTCTGTCAGTCATGCCAAAGTGCAACTGACTTCCTACACCCATGGCTGGTTTCTGACTCGCCTTTATCAGAAACACTTGGTTCCAGGCCATTATTATGTTTACTAATTCCAGGGGCTGCAGATTTTGGATTTAGGTATAACCAATATAAAAGTAAATTACTTTATTCTATTTTGTTTCACATAGTTTGAGCTATATCAGTATAAATCTATGTGCACATCAAGACATTTTTAAATATCCAAGAAGAAAAAAATAGAACGGGAGCTTATGACCAGACTGGCCATTCCTGAGTACTTCAGTTCCCAGGTAGGCTGGGTTCGTGGGGCTGCTAGTGAATCTGGTATCTCTTCAAGATTCTCCACAGGAAGGCCTCATTTCCTAGGTTTTTGTGAAAAAGAAATGTCATCTTTCATCACTGTGCTCTCTCTCTCATCTTCAAGTTATTCCTAATGGCATCTAACCAAATCTTGGTGGAGATAAGGATGGTGAAAGGCCCATAAAACCACAATTTAGCAGGAAGAGTTAAAGGAAATGGCAATGTTTAAACTATTATGCTTGGGAGTACACATTAGGTCTCCTGACATATGTGGAGGCTTCTGAGAGGCAGCATGCTGCATATCTGTACATAGTCTTCAGAAAGAACAGATAAAGTTCAAAAACACTAAGCATTTCCTCGAAGCAAAAAATAGCATTAACCAGTAAATTTCTCTCTCTCTCCTGAGATTGTTAAGCTTAGCGTTCTGGTAATGTTTTACTGCATTACCAATGACCTCAAACTTAGTGGCTTAAAATAACAGTTAACAACAACGGATTGCACATTTTAAAATAGCTTGAAGTGGGGACTTGAAATATTCCCATCACATGAAAATGATGAATGCTCATGGTGATGGATACCCTAAACTTCTTGACTTGATCATTATACATTCTATGCATATAACCCCATAAATATATATGTATATTATATATCAATCAAAAATTAAAAACCAACTATTTAATCCTATCTCATCATTTGGTGGAACAGGAATTTGGGCAAGGCTGGGCAGGGTGATTCTTAAGTGACATTGACTGAGGTCACTTGGTGGTGTTCAGGTGGTGGATGGGCTGATCTGGAGCGCCCAGGATGGCCTCATTATCAGGTCTGGTGCCTTGGCGGAGGTCGCTGGAAGGCTGAGCTCAGAGCAGGGTTGAAGTGTGTATACCCGTGGCTTCTCCAGCATGGGAGTCTCAGAGTAGTTGAGCCTTTAGGCAGAAGCTCAGGGCTTCTACGAAGAGGATTTCAAGAGAAAATAAGTGGAAACTGCCAGTTTTCCAAGGCTTGGAGCTGAGAACTGGCAGCATTGCTTTTATCACATTCTTTCAAAGCAGTCACGGCCCACCTAAAATCAAGGGCAGGAGAGGGAATGTGGTCCCCATTTCTCAATGGAAAGAGTGACAATCATTTTATGGTCATTTAAAATCTGCCACCTTTATAACAAATCCTAAATCTGGTGGTAACATATTTTTCATATTGTACCTTCCCACTGTCTAAACTTGCTCAAATCAGAAAAGAGAGGAAAGAATCCTCTTCGTTTATAGGTACATGCTGTTTACTAATAGGAAATGCTCATTAGGACCCCTTATGTTAGTTTTGGGACTATTGAAACGTTACTTAGGTAATTATGTAAGTCCTAGAACAATGATTAGTGTGAAAATGAATGGGAGTTCATGAGTAGTATCAACAGCTAGTTTACCAAGTATCTTTTAAAAATGTTCATTGTCTTTAGAGCTAGAAAATGCTGTGTATAATTCCTGGCAATTGAGGTGAACACAGTTTCCCTGTCCCTTTTCCCGATGCAACTGAGGCGCTTTGTTTCTCATTTATTTGTTTGTTTCGACAAAGTAATTTCTTACAGACACACTAAAAGGCTTTTTGTTTGTTTCATTCTTATGTAGAAAGGAAGGTGCTTGGGAAGGCAAACTTGAGTCTGAATGAGTTGGGGTGGTGAGAACAGAAGGACGAACTTGCCTTAAGGTGTGAAGGAATGTCTCTAGAAGCAGTTCATTTCTTTTCGATACTGGGTTGGAGAGAATTTTGCCTCAAAGACAGACATAAGCATGACCTGAGGGGCAAGATTCTGGGTCTTCAGCGCTACCTGCTCATGGTGATTTTACTTGGCTGCCCTAGAAGGAACTTGTCTGTCTACACTTCTATAGTTTCTGACATAGACAGCTCTCTGTCTCTACATGCTATCTCTCCCACTTTATCCACTTGAGCCTCGTATGTCTCATTTCCCTTCCTTGAATCCAACTGTGGCCACACCCCCATTCTGACACCTTCTTCACTGGCCTGAGTTAGGGCATTCCACCCCCTACTTTCTTGGCCCTGTCACTCCTTGAGCCACGCATAACTTTTAGTTTTGTATCTAGTTTGTTCCTAGCAGCCTCTCTTAGTTCTACTCTACAATACAGACGAGAATAAACAAATTCTCATTTCGGGAAGTGCTCCAACTCTGACCCATTCCTGCGTTTTCGGCCCCACCTCTTCTCACTGGACACTTACCATCTCTCCATCTCAAGCCAGTTGGGGGCCATGTTCATGGTCTTCTCTCTATGTTGTTACACGAGCTCCTCTTTGTTAAATGGTCTCCAACTTACCTATTATTTTTTCAAGATTCAATCTGAACCTTTCCTCCTTGATTCCTGGGCACATTGAGGAAGGCTTCTTTAGACATCTTTCTGTCTTCATTCCTATGGCACCCTGGGCATAGCTCTATTATTTGGTTGTGGATTATCTGTTTAAATATCTTGCTACTCCTCTGCTTTATGAACTCTTTCTGGGCAGGAACCATGGAATTTTTATCTTTGCATCCCTGTTCTCTAAAGTGATACCTGATGTGTGCACGGGTGGATTGTTGGAAAAAAAGGATGGATAGATGGCTTGGAAGGCTAGATGGTTGTCTGGATGTCAGGGGATGGCTGGATTGTCGAAAAGGTGAATTAATTGATGGTTGGGTTCGCTGACGATTAACTTTGTAATAACATTGGACGAATGTTCATAGGCAGTGACTTTCCCCCTGGGATTTTGTGACTTTTGATTGCCAATGAGTCTAGCACAAACTCAATTTCCCATGACATTTCTAATACAAATTTATACATATTTTTATTTGTTGTTCTACTGCAGCTCTTCAAAGCATCCTGAAGTTGGTCTTAAGCCAGCATTCTTAAAACTCTAAGGAGGCAACAAAAGATTTAAACAGTGTACAGCAAATGGTGACTCTGAAACCAGAGTTGTTTCACTGCTCACTGCCACCCCGAGATTGATTTGCCATGATAGATGGCTTCCTAGGCTCAATTAGGTTCTTAATTATGGAGATAGTTATATTTACTTCTGTCACAGGGCTGATGAGGTGAAATATTTGCAAAACAATCTATCTATATCTATCTATATCTATCTGTCTATCTATCTATCTATCTATCTATCTATCTATCTATCTATCTATCATCTTATATGTGTTGTTGTTGAGGTTGTTTGAGATATCCCCCAGGAGAAACAGAAATATTTATGTTTCTTATGTTTCCCCTCTTTTGTCTTTGAAGTCCCAAACACCAATAAGGATTTGTTTAAAAACACTGAGGACTAGCACAGGTAGAGACTCAGGGAGAGTTAGAACTCACAGTCCTGCTGCTACCTGAGACACATTGCTTGTTATCATTGCTAAATCATAACTCTTAGAGCCATAGCATTAATATGTATGAAATCCTAGCTATCAAAGGGAATGGGCTGGCTCTAAGGGTAAGCATGACAAACAGGTTCCATCTTGCGTGCCAGTTTCTTTTTTTCTTTCTTTTATTTTGCAAATTTTTATTTTTTAAAATTTTAGTTCTATAGATTTGCAAGAGCAGTGCAATAAGTACTCACATATCCTTCACTTACATTCACCAGTTGTTAATGTTTTTTTTTCTCAGTTTTTATTATTATTATTTATAAGTTTTAGGGTACATGTGTGCATTGTGCAGGTTAGTTACACATGTATACATGTGCCATGCTGGTGCGCTGCGCCCACTAACTCGTCATCTAGCATTAGGTATATCTCCCAATGCTATCCCTCCCCCATCCCCCCACCCCACAACAGTCCCCGGAGTGTGATGTTCCCCTTCCTGTGTCCATGTGCCCTCATTGTTCAATTCCCACCTATGAGTGAGAATATGCAGTGTTTGGTTTTTTGTTCTTGCGATAGTTTACTGAGAATGATGATTTCCAATTTCATCCATGTCCCTACAAAGGACATGAACTCATCCTTTTTTATGGCTGCATAGTATTCCATGGTGTATATGTGCCACATTTTCTTAATCCAGTCTATCATTGTTGGACATTTGGGTTGGTTCCAAGTCTTTGCTATTGTGAATAGTGCCGCAATAAACATACGTGTGCATGTGTCTTTATAGCAGCATGATTTATAGTCCTTTGGGTATATACCAAGTAATGGGATGGCTGGGTCAAATGGTATTTCTGGTTCTAGATCCCTGAGGAATCGCCACACTGACTTCCACAATGGTTGAACTAGTTTACAGTCCCACCAATAGTGTAAAAGTGTTCCTATTTCTCCACATCCTCTCCAGCACCTGTTGTTTCCTGACTTTTTAATGATCGCCATTCTAACTGGTGTGAGATGGCATCTCATTGTGGTTTTGATTTGCATTTCTCTGATGGCCAGTGATGGTGAGCATTTTTTCATGTGTTTTTTGGCTGCATAAATGTCTTCTTTTGAGAAGTGCCTGTTCATGTCCTTTGCCCACTTTTCGATGGGGTTGTTTGTTTTTTTCTTGTAAATTTGTTTGAGTTCATTGTAGATTCTGGATATTAGCCCTTTGTCAGATGAGTAGGTTGCGAAAATTTTCTCCCATTTTGTAGGTTGCCTGTTCACTCTGATGGTAGTTTCTTTTGCTGTGCAGAAGCTCTTGAGTTTCATTAGATCCCATTTGTCAATTTTGGCTTTTGTTGCCATTGCTTTTGGTGTTTTAGACATGAAGTCCTTGCCCATGCCTATGTCCTGAATGGTATTGCCTAGGTTTTCTTCTAGGGTTTTTATGGTTTTAGGTCTAATGTTTAAGTCTTTAATCCATCTTGAATTGATTTTTGTATAAGCTGTAAGGAAGGGATCCAGTTTCAGCTTTCTACATATGGCTAGCCAGTTTTCCCAGCACCATTTATTAAATAGGGAATCCTTTCCCCATTGCTTGTTTTTCTCAGGTTTGTCAAAGATCAGATAGTTGTAGATATGCGGCGTTATTTCTGAGAGCTCTGTTTTGTTCCATTGATCTATATCTCTGTTTTGGTACCAGTACCATGCTGTTTTGGTTACTGTAGCCTTGTAGTATAGTTTGAAGTCAGGTAGTGTGATGCCTCCAGCTTTGTTCTTTTGGCTTAGGATTGACTTGGCGATGCAGGCTCTCTTTTGGTTCCATATGAACTTTAAAGTAGTTTTTTCCAATTCTGTGAAGAAAGTCACTGGTAGCTTGATGGGGATGGCATTGAATCTGTAAATTACCTTGGGCAGTATGGCCATTTTCACGATATTGATTCTTGCTACCCATGCGCATGGAATGTTCTTCCATTTGTTTGTATCCTCTTTTATTTCCTTGAGCAGTGGTTTGTAGTTCTCCCTGAAGAGGTCCTTCACATCCCTTGTAAGTTGGATTCCTAGGTATTTTATTCTCTTTTTAGCAATTGTGAATAGGAGTTCACTCATGATTTGGCTCTCTGTCTGTTGTTGGTGTATAAGAATGTTTGTGATTTTTGTACATTGATTTTGTATCCTGAGACTTTGCTGAAGTTGCTTATCAGCTTAAGGAGCTTTTGGGCTGAGACAGTGGGGTTTTCTAGATATACAATCATGTCGTCTGCAAACAGGGACAATTTGACTTCCTCTTTTCCTAATTGAATACCCTTTATTTCCTTCTCCTGCCTAATTGCCCTGGCCAGAACTTCCAACCCTATGTTGAATAGGAGTGGTGAGAGAGGGCATCCCTGTCTGTGCCAGTTTTCAAAGGGAATGCTTCCAGTTTTGGCCCATTCAGTATGATATTGGCTGTGGGTTTGTCATAGATAGCTCTTATTATTTTGAGATACGTCCCATCAATACCTAATTTATTGAGAGTTTTTAGCATGAAGGGTTGTTGAATTTTGTCAAAGGCCTTTTCTGCATCTATTGAGATAATCATGTGGTTTTTGTCTTTGGCTCTGTTTATATGCTGGATTACATTTATTGATTTGTGTATATTGAACCAGCCTTGCATCCCAGGGATGAAGCCCACTTGATCATGGTGGATAAGCTTTTTGATGTGCTGCTGGATTCGGTTTGCCAGTATTTTATTGAGGATTTTTGCATCAATGTTCATCAAGGATATTGGTCTAAAATTCTCTTTTTTGGTTGTGTCTCTGCCCAGCTTTGGTATCAGGATGATGCTGGCCTCATAAAATGAGTTAGGGAGGATTCCCTCTTTTTCTATTGATTGGAATAGTTTCAGAAGGAATGGTACCAGTTCCTCCTTGTACCTCTGGTAGAATTCGGCTGTGAATCCATCTGGTCCTGGACTCTTTTTCATTGGTAAGCTATTGATTGTGTGCCAGTTTAAAATCAATTGCTAGTTGCTACCTGGAAATGAGAAAGATTCTGAGGTCTTATCTGAGCTACAATTGTTCAGTGATGTCTGCCATGAATATAGGATCTCCTATACGTGATTATCATAAGACCATAACATGTGTTCGTTATGCTAGGTCTCCATGCTGGCTATCCACTGATTCACCATAATGGTTCATAAGATTATTTATGAGAAAATATCTACAGAGATTTTATAGTTTCTGGAAGCTGGTTTTTGAACTAATATGCAACTTGATCCTTCAGTGAATATAGTTAATAAAATGTAGAAAGAGAGAGGTGAAGAAAACTGTGACATTAACACCTGTTAGAGTCATTTTCTTTAGAGGATAAATGCTTGTTGTTTTCCTATCCAGGGTGGGTTGTCTACTGCGGAGGAAGGATGGTTTCTCAAGAAGTTGTGATTAGTAGTGTGTTATATTGAAAATTAAAAGCATTCACTTCTGCACAGATGCAAATATAATCAGTTTAACTTTATTTTAAGCTTCTATTACATTGTAATTAATAATAATATACTAAGTTAAGCCAGTTTAACTGTCTAGCAAAATGCATTTCATTTTAAAATTGGATATTGGGAGACTTGGCAAATGCTGTGAGATTACTTAGTAAAGTTAAGTATGATGTATATATAGAGGGGACCAGCTCACCCTCATAGGTTAGTGCTGAAGGCTCAGGAACAGTCTCAAAGGCTTAGAAATGTGGTTATATAGACCAGAGCATTCCATTCTGATTTTGCCCCCAGTATACTTATCACTGTTCATTTTTTGCTAAGAATCACAGTCTACTGACCTAAATCACACCCTAGACATATCAGAGGGAAATTCTGACCATAAATCAGCCTTGCAAATACATAGCAGGCAGCCTTCTCTGTAGTAGCCTTGGAACATAATACAAATGATGTCAGCATCCTCTGTGGTTGGGTCAGAACTAGCACTGGCTATTTGCAAGGCTGAGTCCATATTACCCTTCAGCACCTGAGTGCCAAGCTGAGGTCTCAACATGGGTGATGTGAAGGACAAGAGAGAATCAGTGGCTGCAGTCCTTCTATATATCTGGTCACTAGATCCGCCAGCTTCTTCAACTTGTTGGGCTTATTATATCTCTGAAAGGGGACCTGAACCTGCATCATTCTGCAAAGGAGATGATTCCTGAGAGATGGGTGAAATATAATCACTAACTAAAGAGATAAATTCTTCACTTTACTTCCTAGTATTGCATCCCAGAAAGGGTTAAAGTAAGGGATATTGGCTCCTGCTGATCAGGCCACAGTGTGACACATTCTATAAAATGCATCACAAAACTACATTATTCAATAGACTTGAGTGTTGCACCTGCTTTCTTATCTCCTTGTAGGTGGTTAAGTTTCCCACAAATGCAATTTGTTAATATGGGGCCACCTCTTCTAACAAGGTAAATCTAAAATTTGGCAGGCATTTGCTTGGCTGCAGGTGCAAAATGAAAGATCTTTTTCTGGCTTTGCCAAAAATAAAAATTATGTTGTGCTCTAGTCCTGGGAAAAATATTCTCACATGGAGGGTAGAACCTGACCCCGAGAAAGGGGACTGGAATTCTAGAGCCCAAATCATGTGCTATTATTCCCAAAAGGCTGAGTGGGGAATCTGAAGTCTTGTTTTAAATGAGGCCAGGTATTGAGCAAATCTCCCTGGTAAGAGAGCCCACTGATATTTGGAGATGTAGCCATTTGTGATGATAAATGATGACTGTTACTCTTATGAGCTATGAGAGCTTAATTAAAGCTAATGCTTAGCACTCTTTGGAAGGTGGAGAGATTAAAAACTAACTTCCTTGCCGAATAGCCTGGGTTTGGAAAAGCATGTTTTTGAAATATGTGGGATCTCCACTCTGGAGCCCTCTGCAGTCCTGTCTGGGTCTTCACACCTAAGTCAAAGCAAGAGCTATTTTTGCGTTAGAATTTCCTTAGCCAAGACTACAAGAGGCCAAATGCCAGGGTTCATCTCAGCTTCCTGTGCATTCACATGGAAGGTCGTCTTTGAATCTGCACGTCCAGCTCGCCATACACATGTCTCAGGGAGTCACTGCTCATGCTGGCTATCAGCTTCCGATGCCCAGAGACCCAGGGCCGGCACACTTCTTCCCACTGCACGGTGGAGTTGGGCCGGATTTCACTGAAAGGATGGAAAAGAGAGGAGAGGTTGGAAGATCCAGCTTTCCACTTTGATCAGGAAGCAATGAAAACTCTTGCCTAAGTCACTTGCTTTCTTTCTCTCAGTTGGTGCTTAGGACACTGAAGACTCTCACTGGCTGATTCAGCAAGTTATGCCCCAAATGAGGCCCCCACATAAAGCTCTGCAGAACCTGTCACTGACAGTCTTATTGGGTCATGGTTCCTTCCACTGGGATGCATCCGCCAGCCTCCCAGTGGCCATCAGGAGCTGGGCTGATTCCCATCCAACCATTAATCAACTGAACTCTAGCTTGTCTCCAAGCCCTCCATAGTAGCCTTATCTATGTGACTGATCTTCTGAGCCTCAGCTCAGTTTTTGCCACTAGTTTCCTCCTGGAATTACAGTCCTATATGAATCCCCCAGCTGCCTTTGCTGAGGCCCTGACACTCGAATTAGCTTTTGCCAACTCCCTTGGGATAGACCTTGTTCCCAGGCTCAGCATCTGGAATATAGCCCTGCCTGCTGCCATTTGACTTTGAGAATCTTCATGTTCTGTAATTCAAATTCCTATTTCAACCACCAAATTGGGCCCCTCCACCTATGCAACTTTCTGCTACCATTTGTTGCCAATGCCCTAATGTATGCGGCTAATGACATAGCCTTTCATGGTTCTAGTGTTCTCCTCTTCCTCCCAGCCTTTGCCCTGAAGTCTTCCTGAGTGTCACGAACAAGCCCACATCAGTGCAGACTGAGACTAATCAGGGTTGGTGAGATTTAGTGTTCTCTGGGGTGCTTCACATATAGCCTCCCCTATAAACCTTGGGAGATTATATTCAGGTTTTATATGTATGACAGTTCTTTGAGGCAGATACTATTCAGCAGATTTTATGATCAAGAAAAATGGAAGGTAACCAGTGAAGTCCCTTTTTCAAGATCACATAATTGGTAAATGGGCAGAGATGAAATTTGAACCCGGGTTTTTCTGAGTCCCATATTCATACTCTTTCTGCTCCTCTTCACTGCACTTCATAAAAGTGTACACCATATGTTCTATAAGAAAAGGCTTTTTCTAAGATATTTGCACACACATATTTATAGCAGCACAGTGTGCAATTGCAAAAATATGGAACCAGCCCAAATGCCCATCAATGAGTGAATAAAGAAATTGTGGTATGCATATACCATGGAATACTACTCAGCCATAAAAAGGAATGAAACAATGGAATTCACAGTGACCTAGATGAAACTGGAGACCAGTATTCTAAGTGAAGTAACTCAGGAATGGAAAACCAAACATCCTATGTTCTCACTCATAAGCTGGAGCTAAGCTATGAGGATGCAAAGGCATAACAATGAACAATGACGCAATGGTCTTTGGGGACTCAGGGGAAAGGTGGGAGGGATAAAAGACTACAAAATGGTTACAGTATATACTGCTTAGGTGATGGGTGACCAAATGTCTCAGAAACCACCACCAAAGAACTTATTCATGTAACCAAACACCAACTGTTCCCCAAAAACCTATAGAAATAAAAAAAGAAAAGAAGAAAAGGCTTTTTCTGACCATTGTGCTTACTTTTTCATAGGTTTTATTTCTCAAGCAGGAAAGATACTTTTTGACTTAGTAATAAGAGTGTCCTGGAAGTGTTCATGGAGGATTCATTGAACTCTTTGCAAGATAATTTAGGAAAGTTTCTCCTGCCTGTATGCAGAGAGAAAATTCTCAGTGCTCAATTCAATACCAATATAAGTTTGGGATATTTATTTCTCAACAGCTGTGCTATTGTTACCTGTATCCATTCATTCTCTCTCCTCTGGTTCCCCCAAGTGATCAATCAGAAGCACTTTGTGAAACAGTGGCCCTGGTTAAGGACCCGACCTGAGACCATGTACTGTAGATAACCACCTCAAATAGAAGCTAAGTATTTAGCCCCCTCTTATCATTTTCTCTTACTCATAAAACCATCCGGCATAATGATGTGTACATACGAAAAAACTCATACATGAAAATACTCATACATGAAGATACGTATGCATGCTATTTTACATACAGATAAATTCATAACAGAGAAAAAAGTATTTTGATAAGTGGAGCAATGTTGGAGTAATCCTATTTTCTGGGGATGGATGTTGTGATAAACGATTCTCAGTAACGTGCTGAGCCATCAGGAGATACCGGCCATTTATCATCTTGAATGCACGCAGGCAAATAAGATTATTATTACAATAAACTGCAACTGCCCATGGTTTGTCCTCTGTGCTTCTAGACCTTAGCTTCTGTCCTATTTGAGAAACTTAAAGTTTAAGCCCAAATCACAAAGTGGGGGAGTTTTTCTCTTGAAATAACATATTGAACTGGATCATTTTCTAAAGAGCAAAATAAATCTGGAAGATAAATTATTTGACGCTCTGGAAGCATCAAGTGCAGAAAGTTAAGAGTCTGTGGAGGTGGAACCTCTGCACATCTGAGACAGGCCGGAGGCAGTGGGGGAAGAGCAGGAAGATAAACCATTTCAGAGTAGAGTTGGCTCACTGCGAGTGAGGGGTGAGACACAGCACCGCCTTCTTTGTTCCTGGCTCCAATTCCCTGTTTACCAGCTCCTCACCTTCCAGGCCCTCTGCTTTGGGTTCAATAACCCCTGCCTTCTAGACACCACATCTGGCAGGGTGTGGGTGAATGAGTGGGGGTGGTGATTCCCCAACTATTTAAGAGCTGTATTCTAGAAAGAAATACGGTCTTGCAAAGGATTTTGGTTTTGTGGAATTGCACTTTCTAGGCGTCCAAGTTGTTACATGGATCTGGCGCTCCTAGATCAGATCTTGGCAACATAGGGCACAGTGGAGTGCTTCTAATTATCTGACCATATGGAAGTGGGCACGGACTGGCTCAGGTCTTGGTTGTGAAGGTGTGTGCTGGAGTGAGGAGTAAACAGAGAAAGTGGCACTTGCTCCAAGTTGTAAGCCCATCTTAGATAACAAATGTTTTCTATGTCATGATTTTTAGCCCAAGTTTTGACTGTCTCTGAGAAATAAAGCTTCTCTTGTCTGGGAGATATTCCACCCTGAAGCTGGGTTTCTGTAACTATTCAGCCATAAAAAGAATAAAATCCTGCCATTTGTAACAACATGAATTAGACTTGGAGGAAGGGCATCATGGTAAGTGAAATAAACCAGACATGGAAAGACAAATACTACATGATTTCACTCACATGTAGACACTAAAAAAAAAAAAATTATTATACCATAGAAGCAAAGAGCAGAACAGTGGTTACCAGAGACTGAGGAGGAGAACATGAAGGGGAAGATGGGAAGAGGTTGGCCAATGAGAACAAAGTGACAATTAAATAGGAGGAATAAGTTCTGGTGTTCTATTGCATGATAAGGTAACTATGATTAACAGTAGGTATTGTATATTACAAAAGAGCTAGAAGACAGGCTTTTGAATGTTCTCACCACAAAGAAATGATAAATGCATGGGGTGATGGATACACTAAATACTCCGATTTGATCATTATACAACATATATATGTATCGAAACATCAAATTGCCCCACATAAATATGTAGAATTACAATGTGTCAGTAAAAAAAACTTAAAAAGAGAGATTGAGGACTGTTACGGACTAAATGTTTGTGGTCCTCACACATTCATTTGTTGAAACCCAAACTCCAGTGTGATACCATTTAGCGATGGAGCTTTGGGGAGGTAACTAAATTAGAATAGGTCATGAGGGTGGGGCTCATGATGGGATTAGTGCCCTTCGAAGAAGAGGTGCCAGAGAACTTGCCCTCCCTCTCTCTGCCCCATGTGAGGACACAGTGAAAAGACAGCCATCTGCAAGCTGGGAAGGGAGCCCTCATCAGGAACCGAATTGGTCGGCACCTTGTCCTCAGACTTCCCAGACTCCAGAAGTGTGAGATATAAATGTTTGTTGTATAAGCCACCCAGTCTATGGCATTTCTGTTACAGCAGCTCAAACTGACTAAGAGCAGCTAGCTCTCTGTCTATCTACTTGTCTGCCTAGACTTACGTGTTGCAGTAACTACTAACAGTACCTTAAGCCAGTGTGTGGGCAGGACATCTGTGTCCAAGAAGGGACTGGCCTTATCCATCCTTTCTCCCGATTCACTCCACTTTGCTCCACTCCAATGTCAGACATTAACAATAAACAAACCATCTGGAGATTTAACCTATTTTGAGCCTGAGGCCTCCCAAATAGTGGGTCATTGCACTGTGTAATAATTCACTGTGTAATAATTCATCTTTTGTCTAAGACACACAGTGTCTTTTTTCATGTGTTGGCCTTGACCAAGGTGGAATTCTAGGGGGATAGCCAAGGTGTAAAGATAGAGAAGTTTCCGGTACACTCAGATAAAGCTTGTGGGTTTACTGTCTGGGAAGGAAAAAGTTGGATACAGCAGGGGGCTGTATGGAAGAGGAAACGTGTTTCACTTTGCCTGAACGATTCTTGCATCTGATTTGAGTGGGAAGGTGCGAGAATGGGTGAGTGAGACTGTCGTTTCTGACGAAAGCAGGGGTATGGCTGCTGACCTCTCTATGTAGCTGGGGTTGATTACTAATTTACTTATTTTTTTTTCCTGTAACTTTCCTGTTAGCACAGGAAGGTTGCTATGTTTTGTGCTTGCGTTGTTTCAAAAGCACTAAGATTATTTTCTCTGTTGTTTATTGCATCTGCAATAAGGCATCTCTTAAATGATGAGATGCAGAAGCTACGAGCATTGTAATTTGAAAGAAATGCGGAGAGCCCTTTATGGGCAATAAAGTTGCCCCAGAGGGTATAAGTGAGGCCTTGCATTTATCCCACAGATTCCAGAGTGGGGTCGCTTCCATAAAGGGTGTCGGGAAAATTCTTGACATATCTGGTCATGAGGCAGTTTCCAAAGTCCTCTACCTCCCTTTCTATGCCTTAGAAGGTCACTCCACAGGAAATGTGCTAGATTGATTGATGCTGACAAGGACTTATTTGTGGTAGAAATGAAAGTAATAAACCTCAAAGATTGGGATCCATTCTGGGTGTCACACTTTAAGAGGAGTAGTGACAAATTGGAATGTGTGGGAGAGAGAGAGAGAGAGCTGAAACCATGTTAGAGGAGAGGGAAATAAAGTCAGGACAGATATTTGTCCCCAGGTAGAAAAGATTCAAGGAAGATGAGACAGCTGTTTGCAAACATTTGCAAACCATCAGATGGAAAAGAGATGGGCCTTACTTTCTGTCAGTCCAGATGGCAGAATTAGGATCATTGGCAGGATCAAATGGTAGAAAAACCTGTTTCCTTACTGTTAGAGCTACCTGACCATGGAATGGGTTATCTTGTTGGGTCACACTCTTTGTTAGTAGAAGTCACAGAAACTGAGACCTGTCAAGCACAATTTGAAGTGGCCTGTGTGTGGAAGAGGCTGAGTTTCATTCATATCATTACAGAACCTGGGGTTGTCTTTGGTCCCCTGAATGGGGAACCATCTAGAGCTCTTTAGGCTCAACTAAAAAAAAACCTGAATCCAACAGTTGTAGACACTGATTGGGATGGTAAAATCTGTGAGGTGAGGCTGGAGACAAAGCACCCATGAAAAGGGGGTATCTCTCAGCATAATATCTGACACGTGGTAGGAGCTCAATAAAGATGAGAAGAGACCATACGTGAGTAGGTAGTACAGCAAAGTGGTTCAAACTTGGGTTCTGGAATTCACCAGCCTGAGTCTGAATCTTGGCTCTGTTTTCATAAACTGTGTAACTGAACCTGTGTAACCAGTCAACCTCTCAAAGCCTCAAATTCCTCAGCTACAGAAGGGAGATAATAGCAGTATCTACATCGTAGGGTGTCTTTAAGGATTAAATGATGAAAGTGCTGGTCAAACCAACCCTAGTTTTACTCCACGCCCTACAGAAATGGTCGGCAAGGAGGAGGCAGCTTCCAAGACATTTTCACTGGGGAGCAGATCTATGTTTGGAAAAGACACACACAGAGAAAGCTTCCCACAGCCCTGCACTGCCTGCCCGGTCTCCCCAACCCAAGGTTTACCGGAACATCTTCTTCATTGGTCTTGTTACTCCAGGACCATCCAGGTGTACCCAGACATTTCGCAGGGTTTCTTTTAAAGGATTGGTAAACTCAACTGTCACAGTCATGTCAGAACCAACTACCTGAGTGCCACGGACCTAAGAGAGAGAATGCAGGTCATTAGCACCAAATAAAACCTCGTTCTGCTCTCTTGTTGTCTTAACCATCATCACTTTTACTAGAGTTTTATGATACAGTTATTTTTTTGGCAATGGAACCAGTGTGATGAGGATAGCTGATTGCTTTGACTGGAGGATACCTATTGAGAAAGAGATGGAAATTTACTAATTAGAATCGCACTCTTTTCCTCATTATAAAACCAGCCTAATTAGAGCTCAGGTCAATAGCGGTGGCCACTGACTGCTCTTTGACAGCAGGAGGGGGAAGTTCATTTGGTGTGGCAACACGTTTCCACGGTGAGGGCGGCCAAGTGAACTTTGCTTCTGGATAGGCATCAAGTTTCCTGCTGGGACAAAGGGGATTCCTGAGTTTAAGAAGTAGAAAATGCTTCAGGGCACATGTGCCTTCTTAGTTTTAGACACATTCGCAAGAAATATGCCAAGGATGGAGTCCTTACTGTTGAACATGAAGAGGAACCTGGATACTAAAATAAGTAAAGGAGATTTTTCTTCTACAGCCACAGTACCAGAGTCCAGGAAAATAAAAGGTTATTTGTTGGTGAGTTGATCTATTATGACTCTCAGAAGTATCAGGTATTTGGAAGAACACCACAGGAGACAGCCAGAGCTCAGTGCCAGGTTCAACACTTATTAACAGTGGGGACTCAGGTGATTTAGGCTTTCTGAGACTCAGTTTTCTTGTCTTTAAAATGGGCTGACACTTTTATGGGGCGATCTATGTAGAATGCTCTTATTATTACTATACCTTAAGCTGTGTTTACTGTATGCCACACACTTTAGAACCATATGCTTTTCCAACATAAACGCAATGTGCCGCAAAATGCCAGGTGGCTATAAGACTTGTTTGTTTGTTTAGGAGCTATGTATACCAAATGAATGGATCTGTATAAGCTCTAAGTAACTTGGGAATAAGATAAGAATAATAGTTCTTCCCTTGCAAGAAAGGTTTGGAATGAAAAATGCTCATAAAACGGCAAACATATTGCAAGGCACATGGCAAAGGCCCAATGCATTACAGTTGATGCTTTTTAGGGTAGCAATGCTCTGGGTAGTTTGTCTTATTCACCTTATATTTCAGCCCACTTTTAACTCCAATACTTAGTACTTCAATACCAATGTCCAGTAAATATTTATTAAATTAAGTCAATGGCTCAAAAATGGAATTTACTGGATGTCTGGATCTTCCAGATGACAACACAGCCATTACTATTCCATGTTCCTTTAGCCACTATATAATATGGGAGAAAATATATGGAAATGAGGCGTTTTTAAGAATGGACGTAAAGAGGAAGGACATTGCCCAGAGAAGAGGACCCTTGCTTACTTATGCTACAGTCAAGAATAAAATCTTCCTGATCTGATCATTACACACTGTATGCATGAATTGAAAAATCACATGTACCCCATAAATATGTACAATTATTATATATCGATTAAAAGAAGAATACACTCTTATGGCTTTACTCATCAAGCCATGCTTTGTGACTAAATTTATGGCTATGGGATTTCTTAAGTCTATAAGAAAAACGAAACTTTCAGCCAACTCCCTAAACTTTGTTACATTTAAATCCGCATCTCCTGGAGGGCAGTGGTGGAGAGCTGGATTCAGGGGAACTAGGAGAGGGGCAGACGATGGTCATGGTAGCAACAACAGCAGGTGCACCTAGACAGCATGGATCGTGTGCCAGGCAGGGAGTCCAGCACTTTAACCAGCAATCCTCAGTCTGGTAATGGGTGGATCCTGTAATTCATTTATTTGAGGCACCCCTGTTGATTACAAAGAACCAGCCCCAGCTGACAACCATAATTCACATATATTCTCACATAAGCCTCACAACACAAGGGCTATATTTGTATCAGCTCGATCAGACTATAATAATAGTTATTCCCTTAAGAAGAAGGAGGTTTTCTAGGGCAGGATCACTGGTGCCAGGCATTTCATTTTATAAAAGAGAAAACTGTGGTTCAGGAAAATAGGTAACTTGAATGAGGATTTGAAGCTGCCAAATGACCAAGGTGGGATTGAAGTTAAAGTCTGTCTAACTGGAGATCTTGAACTCTAAGATAGAGTGCTACTCTGAGGTCAGAGGAGCTGGAAAAGCCAACAACTCAGCAATAACAAGACAACCAAAACTGTTTCGTACTGACGTCCAAAAAAAAAAAAAAAAAACGGCAGTCAGAAAGTAAGGGAGATTTTCAAACCGGTGGGAGCAACATTGGATTTGAAGCCACACTGACAAGACTGAGAATGGATAAGGCCTAATGGGGAGGAGACTGGTTCAATGACAGGCAAACTAGAACATGAACCAGAAGTTACTTTTAGGCTGGCTGGCACATGGGGTGTGGAGAGAGAAGCCTGGTTTGAAGGCTGTGGCAAAAACAGTAATCATGATCTAGATCAGGGCTTCTCAGCATCAACACTACTGACATATCGGGCTGGATGCATCTTTGTTGCAGAGCTGTCCTGTGCCAGGTACGATGTTAAGCAACATCCCTGGTGTCTACCCACTGCATGCCAGGAGCAGCCCCGCACCCCAGCCATCACAACCAAAAGTGTCTCCAGCAATTGCCAAATATTCCTTAGTAAGCAAAATTGCCCTCCAGTTGGAAACCACTGGTATAGACAAAACATGTGGAAGACAGACTGAATTTTTCACTTTCTTCCCAGAGGCCCTGCCTCAATCAATTTAGATATTGAAGGTGTAGCAATACATCAGAATACTTTACATGGTGTCCCTGATTTCATTCTCAAGTGTGTCCAATATATTTTTTCCTGCATTAAGAAACATTTCAAAAACATCTTTGGATTTAAAAAATACAAAATAAAGATAGCATTTACAAAAGCTCTCTAAACTGAAGAAGATGGAGCTGCCACAGAGACATTATTGGCAAAAGTGTTTGCTATGATCACTATATTCTTTCTGGAAAAAATATTTTGGAGCCATCTGTCTTCTCCATGGTATGCTATATAAGGATGGGCATAAGCCCCTTCAAAAGTATATCTGATAGTAGCTACTGACCTTTCCTCTACACAGACATACACAGTGACAAATACAAGATATATACAATATGGGCATGTATTTTTAGGGGATGCACTATAGACCTATGAAGTCCATACATGGTTTTCTAGGGGCCCATGAACCCTAGATTAAGAACCCTTCCCATACCAGTAGACTGGCTCTACATGAAGCCTCCTACGCTGTGGAAAGTGAAATACACCCTTCCAGGTCACTGATGACAGTGAGAAGGAATGCTTAGTATTTGAGAAACTGGCCCATGCAATTGGGCCATCATAGATAGGCTTCAGATCTGAATATGTTCAGGACATTAAACCTTCTCAGGTAATTTCATATGTCATGCCTAATCAGTTTGCTTCCAGTATTGTCTCTGTAATTAGATGCTGGCATGGGTGTATCAATTCTGCCCAGATTTCCCTGATGCTGGAGTGGGGAGCAGGGAGAAGGATGGGGAGGGGTGAGAGGAGAAGCCCTTCTCTGGTTGTAGTGTGTTTCTTTTGCAATTAACAAAGACCAGTGTCCCTTTTCTGACACTTGTCTCCTGCACCGAGAATGTAAACTTCCTGTCCCTGACTACTGATGATAATGAGCCTTAGACACTCAAACCAAACTAAATGTAAAAACCTACCCAATGCTCGACATCACTGTGTTCTGCTTGGGAAATGTAACTGGAGGTGTCTCCCTCTCCTTGCTTCTTTTGAGGAAAATGCTGCCAACACATAGTGTTTTCACGTTATGTGTTGATTTCAGTGATGCACCATGCTATGGTACCTACAAAATGCTGAGAACAATGACTATTTGGGGAGAAAATATCTGTTTGCATCACATTATTTTAGGAATCTGCAAAGCTCCCTTTTCCTTATTGCTGAAAGCATAATTCCATATCTGCATAGTCATATTTTCATTTCATTTTCACAGTCATATTTTTCATTTTCTTGCTCTCATAAAACCTTAAATAAAGGGAGCCTTCAGGCAATTTAGAGAAGGTTAGTTCAAGAAGAAACTTTTATGTGTATTTGCTTTAGAGAAGAGTATTCATTACTTGGGCCAGAGAAAAGAATAAAGCATATGTCTTACTTGGTGACGTCAAATGCTTTTGCATATACTTGATGGCCTTAAGTTTTTCTCAATATTCTATTGAAAATATCTCTCTCTGTTTTAAAAAAATCAACCCGTAGTATGCTTTTTCAAGTTACATATCACTTACTGATATTGACATTCCTGTCCTTTATACTAATTCATGATAATGAGCTGCTACTCTGATTCTTTGGTAAACAAGAAAGTTACTAACACACACATACTCTCTTTCTCTTATATAAACTTTTTGGAAAGAAATTACTTTTTTAGAAATCACAAGATATCTTCCACTAAGCATATGCTTTAAAAATACATAACTGTATTCAAAATTGAAACTGAAATGAAGGAAAAAGTTTGAGAAAGAGTAACAATAAGTGAGGTTGGCAATTTGAAATACATGATTTATTAGCACACCTAACAGCTCTTATTTCAAGTACTTTCAATCATGTATTGCACGTATTTCTGGAAACTGTATTTTTCCCTCCCCCTTGGCCTGTGATCATTTTTGATAATGGGCAATTTCTTGTTTGCAAACTCTGCTCATCACCACAGGCACTGCCCCTGCTTTTAGCTGACACTTAGATGAACACTTACTGACCAATGCTAATGGTTCTAGGGTGGTTAGGAAATGTTCTCAGTCTATATTTTTCCAATATAGTAGCCACTAGCCACCTAGGGCTATTTATAATTAAATTAATTAAAATTAAGTGAAATGTAAAAAATTCAGTTCCTCAGTTGCACGAGCCATCTTTCAAGGACTCAAAAGCCTCATATGGCTCGTGGCTACTGCATTGGATGGAGCAGATTTAAAATGTTCCCATTACCCTAGAAAGTTCTATCAACTCACTTAATCCTCCCAACACTAAGAGGTAAATATTAGGAGTCTTCATTTTATAGATGAGGAAACTGAGGCACAGAGGAGTTAAGTAACTTGCTCAAGTTCACACCATTAGTAAGTAGGGTAGGAGAGATTCAAATGTAGACAGTCTGGGGCCATAGCCGTTGCTCAGCAACACGTGATCCTGACTCTGGTTAATGACAACAATAATAACAAGTAACTTACATTTATTTAGTTAGTGTTTACTTAGTAATGCAGGCATTCTGTTCATCAGTTTACTTACACTACCTTATTTAATCTTCTCTACAGCCCTATGGTCTTGGGGGTAGACATGATTATTAATCCCATTCTGTTTACGTGAAATTGAAATTTAGAAGATAAATAAAAAGCCTACAGAGTTAGGAATCTGGCGGAAGTTGGATATAAATCCAGGTCTTTCTGACTCTAAAACATTCATCTTCAAAACTACCTATACTGTGATCCCTGACAGAATACAGGTAAAAATAGAAACTTTTTTTTTTGCTGGAATAGCTTCTTTATTTTCTGAAATCCAGCAAAGAATCATTTGCAGCATCACCTTTTAAGTTATCGCTAAACCATCAGTTGAGGACGAGGATTATAAGTTGACCCTGAACTAAATTAGAAAACATCTATAACTCACCTCTCTCTTTTTGACTTTATAGAGAAGGAATTAGATTTCTATGCCAGAGTAAAATGTGACAAGGTAGCCTTGGGGCCTTGATATATATTACTTGATGATAATAGGAGTCACTATCTAGGATTTTCTCTTTTAAAAATGAGAGATGCCACTTTTAAAAAGAGAATCAGTAGCCCAAACATACTGGGATTACAGGACTGGAATGTGAGATTGGTTATTCTCATGTGTGTCTCTTTTTAAGATTCAAAAAAATAGCAAACATGAAATGCACAGAGCAAATTATGTTTTAGGTACCGCAGTTACCAGTGACTCCTCATTTTCATTCTAAAATGTGTACTGTTCTGTAGCTGTCCTGAAGAGAGAGATGGAAATGAACACCTTCGATGAGGAGGGCTCACTCATAGACATAGTTTACGATCATCTATCCTGGCTAAGGGCACCCACGGTTTGGTCCCACGGCCACAATCCTCTGTGAAAGTAGCCACGAGGGGATGGAGAGTCAGCTATGGGAGCAGGGCTGAAGGTGTCCCCTCCTAGGGTCCCCTGGGGTAAGCAGGCTTTCCTTGCTCAGAGTCCCTCAGGACTCATAGGTAGATACCTCTGATTTACTCCACAAATAACCTGAAACAGTGTCACGGACATAACTGAGGTGACTGGGATGCACACAGTGGTGCTATTCCAGGCCAAGCTGAAGGGAGAGCAAGCTGGATGCAGGGGCTGAAGACCGGGGCTGCCACTTTGAGTTTTTAGACAAGTCGCTTGACTTCTCTGGGCCTCAGCTTCTTATGCAGTTAGTGGGGTGACTCAATGTAATATCATACAACAGAGCATCTGACACATACTAGCATTAATGAAATATGAGGTTTAAAGGGAGAACATGTTGCCAGGGTGACCCTGAGAACCTCCTCACCTATAGGGTCTTCTATGGAGAATGACGTGGATTCGGTTTCTCAGGGGTTAGAGAAGAGAGCCACAAAGGGGAGAGGTGAAGAAGCCCACCTCCTGGTTCCCATCCCCGGCCTCCCCATGAAGGGTGTGGGTGTGGGCAGGGGTGAATCTTGGTGACGAGAGTGCGATGGAGCCACAGAGAGTGCAGGAGGCTGGAGAGAGAACGTGCTCGGTTGTGGACATGGAGGGGAAAATGGTCAGGGTTCAGCAATAATTAGAACACATAGTCTGTTCCCATTTTCCACCTTAATGAAGTTTGTGATATTTACAGCACTAAATGAAACTACAGTTAAGTCTCACAGTGTAGCCAGTCACTGTCATGTACTTTGTTTGGGGCACTCATTATATCTCAAGTGGTTTCCCCTTTTTTTCTTTCTTTTTTTTTTTTTCGAGACGGAGTCTTGCTCTGTTGCCCAGGCTGGAGTGCAGTGGTGTGATCTCAGCTCACTGCAAGCTCTGCCTCCCAGGTTCACGCCATTCTCCTGCCTCAGCCTCCCGAGTAGCAGGGACTACAGGTGCCCGCCACTATGCCTGCCTAATTTTTTGTACTTTTAGTAGAGATGGGGTTTCACCGTGTTAGCCAGGATGGTCTCGATCTCCTGACCTCGTGATCCACCCACCTCGGCCTCCCAAAGTGCTGGGATTACAGGCTTGAGCCACCGTGCCCAGTGGTTTCCCCAATTTTAATGTGTCCTCTGGGATAAAGTTGTATGAATGGGATGTGGGAGGAGTGAGATCAGCAGCCACCACAGCCACCCACCCTTCCTTGGTCCATCCCGGTGGGTTTCCAGGGTGTGAGCCGTAGGGAGACTGAAGAGGATTCTACTGTTAACCTCGGTAAAAATTGTGGGCATCTCATGAAAAGCTCCAGTTAGAACACAACATTAGGATGGTTGTTAAGAAAAAACAAGCTAGTGTCCCAAGTTGGAAGAGATCTGGACATGGGGCTGGAGCCAGGATGCAACTGTGCAAAGTGGAAAAGGGAACCCCCTTTTTTGGGGGGATGTGGCTCCATGCCAGGCTGCAGGGCTTGATGGTTGGCGAGTGGGCTGGACTGGGTCCCCTCACTGTCTCCTTCCCACCTGCAGATGGGCACAATCTGCACAGGGGTGAGTGCTGGCCTGGAGGGAAGCCGCCCAGAGGAAGGTCCCTGCCTCCTCTCCGGGGTCAACAGTGATACTTCCCATGGATCTTGTGTTATCTATACAATTCCCCACCAATCAGTGCTGGTCATGCAGATATTCTGCTTGTTGAAGTCGATTTCTGTGGGTTAAGCATCTTTCACAGGCCCCATGTACACTGTCTTTGCAAGAGGAGCACCCCAGGCTCTGTGTAAGTGCTGGTTAGCTCAGGTTAAAACAGAGCAACTGCACTCCTGGAGCTGTTCCAGGTGGGCCAGTGCTGAAAGAAAGTGGCGCAACCTTTCCCCATTTCAGAAAAATGCAACAAAAATGTTCTCACTGTTGGCCGGGCGCAGTGGCTCACGCCTGTAATCCCAGCACTTTGGGAGGCCAAGGTGGGTGGATCACCTGAGGTCAGGAGTTCGAGACCAGCCTGGCCAACGTGGTGAAACCCTGTCTCTACTAAAAATGCAAAAATTATCTGGGCGTGGTGGTGGGCGCCTGTAATCCCAGCTACTTGGGAGACTGAGGTAGGATAATTGCTTGAACCCAGGAGACGAAGGTTGCAGTGAGCCGAGATCACACCACTGCACTCTAGCCTGGGGGACAGAGTGAGACTCCATCTAAAAAAAAAAAAGGAAAGAAAGAAAATGTTCTCACTGTTGAATTTTTCTCTGATAATGTTTTGCTTTTGTTTTGTTTTGTTTTTTGAGTCTTGCTCTGTCACCCAGGCTGGAGTGCAGTGGCGGGATCTCGGCTCACTGCAGCTTCTGCTTCCTGGATTCAAGTGATTCTCCTGCCTCAACTTCCTGAGTAGCTGGGGTTACAGGCACGCACCACTACAGCCTGGCTAATTTTTTATTTTTAGTAGAAACAGGGTTTCACCATGTTGGTCAGGTTCATCCCAAACTCCTGACCTCAAGTGATCCAGCCACCTTGGCCTTCCAAAGTGCTGGGATTACAGGTGTGAGCCACTGCACCCGGCCTCTCTGATAATGGTTTTGAAAGCTCTAGGCATTTGCTACAATTTATTTACAGAGTGGGCACCAAATAACTATATGAAGAATGGATGAATGCAAGAGTGACTAAATAAAGAGATAAATAAAAACTAGAAAGTCTTTCAGCTAATGGACAAAATAAATACAGAGCAAACGCTTACTTTTAAAAACTCTTGGAAACAGTCAATTGTCCTCATTTTAAAAGCTTTTTTTTTTTTTGAAAAATTTGGAGACATCTGTTTGCTTATGCTTGTAACTTTAAAAATCACACACATAAAAAATGGTTATGTTTTCTCCTAGCAAAATTGTTCCTAGTTCACATGAGAAAATTAGTTCTATTGGTGCTTCCTGACATCCTGCAAAGGCTGCAGGACTTTTTCCACATGATAATACCACACAAGTGCTGGCTCCTGAGCTGCTTTAGAATGGCAGGTACTGAGTAGAGATCATTGGAGGAACATGTGAGTGTCTCCTCTCTCCCCTAGGCCTTACTCCAGGATCTCCAAGGCGGGCCTCCCTGCATGAGGAAGGCCCCATTCCACAGGGAATGCTGCATACACTCAACACCTGGTGACCAGAGATTCAAGAGATTCCATGCCACTAGGTGAGGGCCACACTCAGGCCACTGGCCCACTTCAGGCCAGTGGCCCACATGCTGCCCTAAGCAACCCCCATGCATTGATGGGACTACAGAGGAGAAAGAACATTTACCAACAGCTACTAGGTCTGGACGTGGGCCATGCATTCTCACAAACATTGCTACAGATGTCAATCCCCCCAGTGCAGTGTTTTATATGTGACTGTACTTAATAGAAGGAGCAGTATAATCATAGTGTATTCACTTTGCAAAGGGGATACTGAAGTTCAGAGAGAGGATGTGTGTGTGTGTGTGTGTGTGTGTGTGAGAGAGAGAGAGAGAGAGAGAGAGAGAACAAGCAACACATGGGAAGGCAGAGAAAAATTCTATGTCTGATTGTAATGAAATTTTCTTTTCTCATCAAAATATTTTGATAGCATGGGGAAAGAGACGTGTGCTCATTAAAGTTTAATGACTGTCTCTCTCTGCCTGTTTCCATGTGAGGATCACACACTCTGACTCACACATGGTGGGTGCTGGGAATGGTTGACTGGGAGCACTATTGAGCCCAGGCCCCATCTTTATCACCACAGGGACCAGTAAAATCCACGACTGGGTCCACTGGGATGCACAAACAGGAAGCCACTGGCCTGCTTTGGTTGACGGTGACTTGGATTCAGACATGTGAGCCCAGTATTGTTCCAGATTGGCCTAGATTTGATCTAAAGGGGAATCAGGTAAGAACAGCTGGAAACTAGCTTTTAGGAAACTCCAGTTCCAAGGCTGAGTTGGGTACTTCCTGGAGAAGACAATGCTTTGGGCAAAGGCTTTGAAGAGAAGGGAGGAAGAAAAAGCGGCTCCGACTTGTGGGAGAGCAGAGTTGACAATCATGTTACATTCCCACTCTAGAAACTCCCTTGAAGCCTCTTTGTTCAGAGAGTCGATGATAAAGCTCTCATCCAAAATTGTAGACTCCCCTCCACATAGCCTCAAGCTATCTTTTTCAGGTTACCCTTACTCATCCCTGCTCCCAGCCTCCACCCCAGCCAAGGCACGCTTCTCACTGCTCTACATACTGCCGTCCACCTCCCCTCTAGCCCTTGCTAACATTTTCTTCCTAGTATCTGAAGGGGTCTCTCCATCCATCTCTACTGGTTGAACGTTATCTGTTCATTGGAGACCATTCATCTTTCTACAGTCTTAATTCTTGATGTCCCACACCACTCAAGTGTGTGTGATCTCTCCTCCCTTGAATACAAAACTCTCTGCAAAGTCAATGACCACCTCTGCTTTTTGTGATAGTTCCATTGTAGCCCAGCGGCTGCCAGCACAGGCTTCCAAGTCAGGAAGACCTGGGCCAGAAGTGTCTCTCCTTCCCTCAACAGGCACGTGATCACGGGCCAGTTACTAATAAACAGCAATAATGGCAATAATAGCAGCAACCAACATATGTAGGTGTGCACTGTGACTCGGGCATCCAATGACTCATAAAAAACTCACAAGGACCCCAGGAGGAGAGTTACCATTGCTTTTGACTTACAGATGAGAATGCAGAAGCCAACAGAGGTGAAATGATCTGTCCAGGTTTACACAGTTATGATGTTCAGAAAACAAGCTTTAAACTCAGATGATTTGGTTCCAGAGCCCATGTTCTGACCACTGTGCTACAAGGCACTGCCTTCTCTGGTCCTCTCAGTTTTCTAATCAGTAAAATAGGGTTATAGTAACGTCCTCCTTGTAGGATGGTATAGAGGGTTAAATAAGATCATAGAAGAGAGGCGTTTAATAATGTAGTGCTTAATAAATCATAGCTGCTGTCATCATAATCACCAGGGGCTGGTCCCAACCCTTATCTTGACTGAGCTGAGCAGGAAGGGCTGTGGTCTCCTCTCTGTCTCTCACATAATTTCACCCTGTGCCTGGCACATTTGCCCACAGCAACCTTGAGGCTCAGTCAGTTGTGTGTCCATCCAGGCTCAAAGAGGTTGAAAAAGGGTGTGAGCGTTTTCTTAGAATTTAGAGAAACATATCCTATGTAATTCTGGACCTCTGAGCCATTGTGGTTTCGTACTTTTACTGCATTTAGCTCCCTTTCCAAGTCCTCATTTTTAAAAAACCTTTTATTTTAAGTTCAGGGGTACATGTGCAGGTTTGTTATATAGGTAAACTCATGTCATGAGGGTTGTACAGATTATTTTGTCACAAAGATATTAAACCTAGTAGCCATTAGTTATTTTTCCTGATCCTCTCCCTCCTCCCACGCCGCACCCTGCACCCTCCAATAGGACCCTGTGTGTGTTGTTTCCCTCTATATATCCACATGTTCCCATCTTTTAGCTCCCACTTATAAGTGAGAACGTGCAGTATTCGGTTTTCTCTTCCTGTGTTAGTTTGCTAAGATAATGGTCTCTGGCTCCATTCGTGTTCCTGCGAAGGACATGACCTCATCCTTTTTTACAGCTATGGCTGCATTGTGTCCAGTCTACCATTGATGGGCATTTAGGTTGATTCCATGTGTGTGCTATTGTGAATAGTGCTGCAATAAACATATATGTGCATGTATCTTTATGATAGAATGATTTATATTCCTTTGGGTATCTACGCAGTAATGGGATTGCTGGGTCAAATGGTAGTTCTGTGTTTAGCTCTTTCAGGAATGGCCACACTGTTTTCCACAATGATTGAACTAGTTTACACTCCCACCAACCGTATATAAGTGTTCCTTTTTCTCCACAACCCCACGAGTACCAGTTATTTTTTGACTTTTTAATTATAGCTATTCTGACTGGTATGAGATGGTATCTCATGGTGGCTTTGATTTGCATTTCTCTGATGATTGGTGATGTTGCCAATAACCAGCATCTATAAGGAACTTGAACATGTTTACAGGAAAAAAACCAAACAACCCCATTAAAAAGTGGGCAAGGGACATGAACATAGATATGGCCAACAAGCATATGAAAAAAAAAGCCCATGGAGGCTATAATTCTTAAGAAACTAATGCAGGAACAGAAAACGTAATACCGCATGTTCTCACTTATAGGTGGGAGCTAAATGAGGAGAACTTACGAACACACAGAAGGAAACAAACAGACACTGGGGTCTACTGGAGTGGGGAGGATGGGAGGAGGGAGAGGAGCAGAAAAGATAACTACTGGGTACCGGGCTTAGTACCTGGGTGATGTAACAATATGTACAGCAAACCCCTGTGACACGTGTTTATCTACATAACAAACCTTCATATGTACCCTCAAATCTAAAATAAAAATAGAAAGACAGGAAAGGAAGGAAGGAAGGAAGGAGAAAAAATAACTCTTAATTGAGTTGTGTTTTATACAATTTATCTGACCCCTCTCCCTAGGCCTCCTTTGGAATATTTCAACTTGAAGTTTTCTTATTACTCTCCTCTCCCCGTTTTTCTCTTCTCCCCCCCATTCTCGCTCCTTTTTCCCTCTTGTCCCTTCCTCTTCTCTTCTGTTCTCTCCTCTCCCCTCCTGTGCCTTCCTCTTTTCTTTCCTCTTTTTCTCCTCTCCATCTTCCCCTCCCCTCCCCTCCCTCCATCCTTTTCTCCTCTGTTCTCTCCTCTCCCCTCTGTTCTTCTCTCCTCTCCCTCCCTTCCCCTCCCTCCTTCCCTCCCCTGCTATGACTCTGCATTTCACCTCTCCAGGAGGCTAGGCAGGTCCCCAGTCCACAGGCCGGAGCTTCTGCACTCAGGGCCTCTCACAGCTCCGTGACTCCTGGGTGGTCCTTAGGGTGTGAGTGCTTTACCCAGGAGCACTTCTACTCCATTTGGATTTAGGTTATCCTTGGAGTTAGTTGGGCTAATGGTTAAAGGACAGTTTATGGGATGATGCCCCATTCCACCTTTTTGAACAAACTTGGCATGGACAGAAGCCAGAATCTCCATCTCTCTCATGCTCTCTTCCCTATCAAATGTCCCTACCTCTAAATAAGTTTCCTCCAGGAACAGCATCTCTGGTTGCTTTGTGGAAGGAAACACAAAACAATATAACTCTCCATTTAAAGTACTCTCTACATGCCCAGGTCTGCTAACTTGTGGGATAAGGTATTCTGATTGTGCCCTGGGGAATTAAACTGCTCTTTAAGTAAACCCAGAAGATAACTAACAAATAATCCTGCAAATTAATAGTGCCTAAAAGATGAAAGTTATCAGTTTCCTTCATACATCCGGTTTATTATCAGTGGTGCAATTAAATTCTATTTTCTGCTGTGGTTTGAGCACTTCACAGCTTGGGAAGCCTCTCTCCTGAGACCTTCACAGGGACAGGCCGTCACTTCATAATTAGGTACGCACACAGGCCTTGCTGCTGTCAGGGAAGGTTCAGGGTTGAGCTCATAAATGAAACCTGCGCAATAGCCCAGAAGGGTAGCAAAAGCTGCTTCCACCAAGCAGCTGGGACAGGCCTGCAGCAGGGGGTCCCACATGTCTATAGGAAGAGCCAGCTGTGAAGAACAGCTTCGGGGTTAGGGCATCCTGCACCTTAAGCTATTAACTTCACGTTCTCATGGATGATGGTACCTCTGCAGCAACCCTAATCCCCACCTCTCCATTTTGCATTTGTTTCTCCCTTTGCCTGCCAACCCTGCACAGCCTCGTTTTCATTCTTTTCAGGCGTCCTGTGCACACAACGCCATGGTGGGCCTGTGGGCCATGACAGAGGCGAAGGAAACAAAGAGACATGACAATGTAGGCCTTTGTAGAAAAGAAGGGCCTGGTGTTCTGCTCCCTGATGGGCATTACATGCCCGTGAGTTTGGGTGGGACTTGCCTTGGGGTGGCTCACTGTGTCAATTACACAGGACCAGACCATAAGAACGTTCAGTTGAAGGAGCTGGTTCCCAGCCCTGCTTTTGCAGCCAGCCTGCTGGGGTTGGAAGCCCAGCTCCGCCATTTGCTGGCTGTATGGCCTTGGAGGAGTTATAGAACCTCTCTGTGCTTCAGTTTTCTCATCTGTAAAGTGATGCCAGTACTCTTTACCTTGTGGGGTTGTTGGTGGTTGAAAATGCAACCATGTAAAGTGCTTTAAGAACAGCGTCTGGAGCCCAGTAGTTACCCAAGAAACACTGCCATTCTGAATGCTGCACAGCAGTCATTGGCTTTCCAAATGACTCACAGCAAAGGATTCACGAGAAGCAAGGACTACCTACCCTCACCCTGCCCACCTCTAGGACCATTAAAATGTGATCAACTTTATAAAGCTTTGATTTATCTACCACTTTAGAGCAATGTAGTTTAGCAGGATCTGTGCTAATTGCTCTTAATCACTTCAAGAAGATTGTTCTCCAGAGACTAGGGAAGGGCTCTAAGACCTGGATAAGGGCTGCATGAGATGTCACTCCTCAGGGTCACTGCCAGAAGCCTGGGTTCCTGCTTCCAGGGCAGGAAGGCGTCTCATGGATGCAACCACAGATGCCCCCAGAAGCTACAGCTGTGGGCCTGAGAAGTAGGAGCACAGAGGCTCCCACATTTATCTTCCACTCTCATCAACCCTCGGCCTTCCTCTGCCAAGTCTCTTGAGCCATTTGGGCAGAGATTTCTGGTGATCACTGGAGAGGCATCATGAAAACTACTGGTCAAATGGGCAAAACAAACCTATGGTGATAAAAGTCAGAAAAGTTACTATCTTGGTGATAGTCTAGGGGGTTATTGGCTGTAAAAGGCAAGAGGGAACCTTCTAGGGGTGTTGGAAATCCTCCATTTCTTCATCTGGCTTGTGGTTGCAAGGCACACGCACATACAAAATCATCATCAAGCTGTATATTTTGATCTGTGCAATCTACTATCCACAATTATACCTCCATAAACAATATTACTGTCCAAAATGTTGCAGGCAGTTTATCTACCTCTTATAGCATGCCTGACCCACTTTATTCTGGAGACACTGAAAGTTCTAAGTATCTGTAGCCATTACACATCTTTATCTTCCTCCACAAGTGTGTTTATACCCACAGGTTATATTTATATCTGCAGCCACATCTATATATTTAAATCTGGAGAGGAGAGGAAAGTGTTATATGTATGTGTCTATATATAGGGCAGTTTACTTCTTTCAAAGAACAAGAGGATCCTAGCACTGGTATTTTTTTTTTTTTTTTTTTTTGAGCAGGACATTCATTCACACACACACACACATACAAGCACGCATATGCACACATGAACACTAAGTCTGCGTGCCTTTGTCTCTGTTCCAGGATGAGACGCTAAGACTGACCTTGATGATGATCTCAGGGATGGTTAGCACGGTGGACTTTTGCTTGGCCAGAACATCCCTGGTCTCATTGATGCGAGCTGTGACAAAGAAGTGCAGGGACGCTTGTTCCAGCAGCTGACCCATGTACTCGCCGGCTTGGATCAGCACCGCCTCTTTCTTGACTAGTAGGAGAAAACACACACAGGCCTGGCATCAAGACTTGAGACAGGGTCTGCTTTACTTTTCTCCAAGTTTCCCTACCCCTCCCACATTAGCCTGGAAGCCACCAGGAACACAGCAAAGGTAAGGGGCAAGTGGAACAAAGAGTCAATTGGGGATAAGCTGTCCTGCTTCTTAGGTAAAGAATGTGCTGGAAATTTAATATTCATTGAAGTCTCACTGGAGAAAATGTGTCAAACCTTCCAAACAGTTCTTTTGCTGTTGTAAAAGAAATGCCATGGAAAAGATGTGATTTTCATGGCAAAGAAGGACCAATGGGTTTTAATGGTGGCTTTGATTTGGGCCGGGATCATCCCAAAATGGAACATGTGGGGTGCTGAAGTCCAAGGCCCCCATTCCACATAGGATCCCTTGTCAAATAAGAAGTGTCTCACCTAGGCCATGGGCCACACTCAGACTAAATTGTCAACTACCTACACATTTTCTCTGTAGCATTCCACATTTTCTCTCCAATCTGATATGATTTTTCTATTTAAGAGAAGGAAGCTGTTGAAACCAGTTTCTACCAAAGGCATTCAACTATCTCCGAACCTCTGTTTGTGATTTAGAAGACCTCTGTGCCAAACAATTGTTTTCTCAATGGAAACCAGTCACTGATGTCAGATTTCTAGGTCCTGGGGACAAGCCAATGAGAATGGCATTTGGAAGATGGAGAGTGGTCCTGGCTCCCCTCCAATTACCATCTGGGCTGAGGATGGTGAGTTCTATCTTGTGGCTCTGGCTCACTTTCTCTCTAACTCCCATTTCCCACTGTCCAGGATTCTAGAGAGCAATGGGCAGTTTTTCTGTAGGCTGAGCCCAGGTGTGCACCCACTGCTACCTGGTTGGAGCCAGATGCCTGTATGTGCCGACAGCTGGCAGACTCCGCAGGTGAATGGGTGACTCATTCCTCCATCCCCAGCCACAGAGAACAGACTCTATGAACCTTCACAGAACTGAATGTCTTTACTGCTTTCCTTCTCAGTTTCTGGCTTTTGCCAAAGACTTCCCCTTCCTGTGGAAGTTATTGAAGGAAACAGCTTCATGGCCAACAGTTTGAGCACAGAGGGTAATTCATTTTAGCCTGCTGTACTGAACAGCAGTTTTGCAGCAGGGTGGGGTGCCTGTGGATGGGCATGCACCAGAGCAGAGGGCAGGGCCCCTGACTCCCCACTGGCTCGAAGGTGTGGGTGCATTGAGCCATGCCCATCATCTGTGGAGGAACTCTCACACCTGCGATGGATCTGCAGCAGCTTGCTCTGGACCTTGAAGACCAAGAGGCTGGGAAAGCCTCTGTCTTGGGCAGCACTTCTATTTGGAAGTCTCTTTACAGATGCGTAAGTGCTGTGCCTTGCTTCCAGGACTTCTGATTGAAGAGTTCTCAGTCATGGCTCTATATCACAATCACCTGGGGACCCTTAAAGACCTACCAAGCTGGCTCTCATTCCAGGCCAATTAAATCAGAGCCTTGGAGGACCTAGACATCTGTATTTTTAACAGCTCTGCAGCTGACTCTGATGTGCAGCCAGGGTTGAGAAGGGCCACTCCAACAACCAGGGGCATCCCTGTAGAATCAGCCCTGCAGACAGCCTGGGTTCCAGTGGAAGGGATGGCTTTCCAGTCCAGGTCTTTGCTGTTCCTCCTGCGGTCTGCACACCAGCAGCACCATCATCACCTGGGAGCTTGTTACAGATGCAGATTCTCTGACTTCTTACTGCACCAGTGAAGTCAGGATCTGCATTTGAATAAGACCCCAGACAATGCCTATTGAAGTGTGAGATACTCTGAGAGACAGGAGGTTCTAACAGCAGAAGGGGTAAGTTAGGGCAGAGTTAGGGTGGACTGAGAACTACCTGGGTTTTAAATTGAAAGGCCTGCATCCTGAGAACCCCATCAATCCCTGGAAAACTAGAAAGGTTGGTCATCCTAGACTAGTAGTTGTCAATAGGAGGCAATGTTATCCCCAGGGGACATTTGGCAATGTCTGGAGAACTTTTTGATTGTCACAACTGGGGTGGAGGGTGGGTTACTACTGGAATCTGGTGGATAGGGGCCAAAAATGCAGTTAAACATCCTACAATGCACAGGATAGTCCCACAACAAAGTATCCAGCCCATAATGTCAATGGTGCTGAAACCAAGAAACCCCGCATAGGGCAGGTGGATTATTAGAATGTATTGGCCTATTTTGGGCAAGCGCTAAAGAGCTAGCTTTGTTGGCTTGATTCCTGGGGCAGAGCTATTCCATTTAGAGCTGACTCTTTAAAGCTATGACCTTGCCTTGACCTTGGCCCCCAGGTCCTGCCTTTTGGAATGACCCGCTCTCGTATTGCTGTCTTTGGACCTAAGCCTGGACCCTGCTTCCTCCATGGCTCCCCTTGCAATTAATTGTTTAGATGAGTGAGGTTCTGGCCCTCTATTGGTTACAGCCTCAGATGAGCACAAATGGTCAGTTTATCGTGTCTCTAGATAGAATGGATGAAGTGGCAAGGTGGAAGGCCTCGAAGAAGATGCCTTTTGCCTCTAGCTGTTTCCAGTAATAACAATAATAAAATGACTTCTTCTGACTATTTCTAGAGGACTATGTTTGACCACTGGATTTCTTTTGGCTAATGGGATATGATTTCTTTACAGAGGCTCTTGCTACCTTTATAATCTCAGTATCAGGACCCCTTTCTTCTCTGAGGTAGAACACTCCCTAAATCATAGCACTAAAGAAACCAGGCTGTGCTTCAGAGCCCAAGAGAACAGTGCTTCTGAAATAGTATGTTATGTAAGTGCTGTGTTTTGCCACTGCACAAGAAATTGTTCTAGATAAAGTTTATTAAACGTGGCAGGAGAAGGAGGAATAGGTTTTCGCTCTATGAGCGGTAGGGCTGGGATGCTGCCAATATCATTTACGGTGTCTGGGGAAAGCCAAGGGAGACACAGACTGGAGCTGCCTCATCTCTTTTCCAAAAAGCAAAGAAAACTAAATATAGCCAAGTGGAAATGATAGCACCTTTGAAGGTACGGAGAGGTTTAAGTTATTCAGATCTCCCAAGCTGATTCCAGCACACACATTCCCTTTAATCATCAATCTGGAAAGTATGCCTCCCATTCTACTTGGAAAGCTTTCTTTGCAGCAGAGGCATCTAAGAATGCTTGATCAAGGCCTGAAGTTATGTGGCTTTTTGCAATACACTGCAATTTAATTTATATTTCAATATACAATTTATTGGTCACAGTTAATACCACCTGCCTGCAGGGCAAAGGAACAAAGAGTCTCCAGTTCCCTTCAAGTTATTCAGGACAACCTGGGGCTGGCCAAGCGAATGGGAGATGTGTTCCTATGGACTCAGGCATAGGTTTGGTCAGCTGTCCCTAGGTCGATGACTGAGAGAATGATATCATTCTACTCACCCATACAAGCTCATTCTTTAATTGGATTAAAGAGGGAAGGGGAAGGAGATTATGAGACAGGACACTTGTGAGGTGGGAAAAGGGCTGGCATTTGGTTCTTTGTCTAAGGATCTGTGCTAGACTCCAGGTAATGGGAGCACAAGGAAGGGACCTGGCCCACTTGGGGCCAAGTTTACCCTGAACTGGCTCACTGTCACTGCTATTATCTGTCTACTCTATTATCTGCTTTGCCTCTCATTGCTGTGTGGGGGCTTGAACACATCGACTCATCTCTCGAGCTTCAGTTTCCCCAAATGTAAACATGTTGGAAGTTACCATTTACTAAGATTCTACCATGTGGCACACATTTCACATTCATCACTCATTTGGCTTCCTCCATACCTTCCTTCTCTCACACCACATATCCAGTCTCTCAGCCAATCAGGCGGGCTCCACCTTCAGCACATGCCCAGATCGGACTGGTTCTCGCTGCTTCCATCACTGCTATCAACCCCTTTCAGTGGAGTGATTGCAGAAGCATCCTACCAGTCTCTAACCTTCCGCCCTACTTCCTCTTTAGTCTCTTCTCAACACAGCAGCCAGTGGTCTTTTCAAAACCTAAGTTAGATTATGCCACATTTCTGCTCAAAACTCTCTAAAGGCTCCTCAGCTCACTCAAAATAAAAACCAAAGGCCTTATAAAGGCCTACAATTCTTTATATGGTCTGCACCCAGCACTGCCCCCTTGCCACCTTTGTTCCTGATTCTGGCTCCTTCCTGCTCATTGAACACATCAGACATGCTCTGGCCCCAGGGCCTTTGCACATACAGTTTCTTCTGGCTGGAATGCTCACTTCTGACCTTCACTCAGGTCTCTGTTAAATGTCACCCCATTAGAGAGGGTTTTTTTTCTGACCATCTCCACAGGTACTCCCCGTTTTCCTTAACCTGCTTTGTATTTTTCTATTACCCATATAACTATACTATAGATTCACTTGTTTGTTTGGTTCCCCCATGAGATCAGAAATTCAGTAAGAATAGGCATTGCTGTGTCTCCAGCATAAAACAGAACCTGGACTTGCAAGCACTAAATAAAGGTTAGGGGAATGAATCAAGAACCCCGGGGTGTGTGTGCTGTTTTTCCCCTTTGCAGATGAGGAGAGACAGCTCAGAGTGCTTAAGTACCTTGCTCAGGAAACACAGCTGGTAGGTGACACAGTCATCGCTTACATCCAGAATTGTCTATTTGCAAAACTCTCTGAAATCAAATGTGGCTGCCTGTTTTAAACAATCCCCATGACTGTTGTCCTCTTCAGTCCTTTACACTGACTATTCTTTTCCATGAAAATTACCTTTACTACCCTAGGAATAGGAAAAGTGCCAAAGCTTTTAGTTTCCAAAGAAAACACTATAGTGTTTTTTTTTTTTGAGATGAAGTCTTGCTCTGTCCCCCAGGCTGGAGTGCAGTGGCACGATCTTGGCTCACTGCAACCTCCACCTCCTGAGTTCAGGTGATTCTCCTGTCTTAGCCTCCCAAGTAGCTGGGATTACAGGCACCTGCCACAACGCCTGGCTAATTTTTTGTATTTTTAGTAGAGATGAGCTTTCACCATGTTGGCCAGGCTGGTCTCGAGCTCCTGACCTCAGTTGATCCACCCGCCTCAGCCTCCCAAACTGCTGGGATTACAGGCATGAGCCACCATGCCTGGCCCCACTATAGTGATTTCTTAATTGTTAGCTCCATTACTGAAGCTGGGGAGATTTGCTTCCTTCAAATTTGAGTAAGTTCCTTGGAATTAGGATTTTAAAAAATAGTTTCTCATTTTTCTGGGAATATTTTCCAAAACCTCAGTAAGGGGACCATGATCTGTGACAGCCACAAAATCCAGAGAGCTTGAGAGCAATTCAGACTTGTGGCTTGACCATCCCAGGGGAGCGTATTAGTTTTGCTTGCCTTTGCTTTGTCAAAATTATTATTTGTACACTTTTCTCTTCAGTGCCCCATGTCAGGCCAACAGAAATTGGTGCCCCAAAGTATCGAGGTCCTTTGCAACCTGCTCTAACTCATTCTCTGCCTAGAGACCAGTTTCTTCCAATGGACTTGTGTTGCCCATCGTGTGGTCAACTGTTGTGCCCACCAAATACGAACATCCTAGGAAATGTGATTTTTTGAGATTGTAATCCCCAAGGCAAGCTGTAGCACGTGGACCCTGATCTGCTTAAAATATTCTGAGTTTTTACAGTGATGAAAATGCTTGGAAGGATGTGCATGCAAGGACGAGAAAGAGGCCCCACAAGAGATGGCAGAGGCAGAAAACCTCTTCCTAGGCCCCTCCTAGATGACACAGCTTTGTTTCCAGCCTCCATTCTTTTCTTTTTTTTTTTTTTTTGAGACGGAGTATCGCTCAGTCACCCAGGCTGGAGGGCAGTGGCACGATCTCAGCTCACTGCAACCTCCGCCTCCCGGGTTCGAGCAATTCTCCTGCCTCAGCCTCCTGAGTAGCTGAGACTACAGGTGCCTGCCACCACGCCGGGCTAATTTTTGTATTTTTAGTAGAGATGGGTTTTCACCATGTTAGTCAGGCTGGTCTCGAACTCCTAACCTCAGGTGATCCGCTAACCTCAGCCTCCCAAAGTGCTGAGATTACAGGAGACAGCGTTTTAAGAAGCGGCCTATGTCAGCGCGTGTATCTTTTTGAATGGGAAAGCAAAGCACACTATTCATTCTGGACAGCCCCCAAAAGACTTTCCTAACTTGGGCGAGAGGCACCAGCAGAGGGCCTGTTTCTGAGATGGATCATTTAGATCCATGCTCCACAAACTCTCCTGTACACTCCAGTCTGCTTGGGATCTTGTCAAAACATGGATTTTGATTCAGAGGGTGTGGGGTGGGACATGAGATTCTACATTTTTTTCAAACTCCTGGGGAATGCTGATGCAGCTGGCTCATGGACCACACTTTGAGTAGCAAGAAGTTACATTTAATTCTCACAACTCATGGGGCTCTAGGCTTTGAAATTTTCAATGTTCACTTCTGTGCATGAGACGTGAGGATGAAAGTGGAGGCTTTTGGGCCGAGTGCGGTGGCTGACGCCTATAATTCCAGCACTTTGGCAGGCCGAGGTGGGTGGATCACCTGAGGTCAGGAGTTTGAGATCAGCCTGGCCAACATAGTGAAATCCCGTCTCTACTAAAAATACAAAAATTTGCCTGGCGTGGTGGCATGTGCCTGTAATCCCAGCTACTCGGGAGGCTGAGGCAGGAGGATTGCTTGAACCCAGGAGGCAAAGGTTGCAGTGAACCAAGATCATCGCATTGCACTCCAGCCTGGGTGTCAGAGCGAGATTCCATCTCAAAAAATAAAAATAAAAAAAAAGAAAGTGGAGGCTTTTGCAGAATGAGTGGGTTCTCCCTGTGAGGCTCACACTTCTGAGATCTTGGAGGGAACTTTAACTTTGATATAAAGCTATAACGGGCATTAACACCTAGCAAGACAGGGGCCAGACAGCGAGTCTCAGAAAGAACCACACCATTGTTAGCTTACAGGACAAGGGCTCCAGCGTCACGTCGAACGTCTCCTTCTTGAATTCTGCCTTCGGGACCCCGGTGTAGAAGGTGATGTTGGCTGAGAGATAAGCTGTGATGGTGTAACGGTTGTGGCTGTTGTTCCGGAAGGTGATGGAGAGCTTGAAGTCTTTTCCCAGCACAGCATTTTCCACTTCAAAGTCCATGTCAACGTTGGACCTTGATTTCATGACACCTTCTGTGTTGAGGGGCTTTTTAGCTCCGTACATCAGGGCAGTTTCTAGGGCCAATCTCTCTTCTTCTTGACCTGGGGGAGATCCAGAGATAATGACAGGCAAAAATACAATCCACCAGAGAGAAAGTCACATTAATGGATGCACCGTGTACTGCACTTGTTGGGGTGTTTCTATAATACAAGCTTCAGACCTCCCCAGGAGGAGGGTGCCGTCATTATTCCTATGTTATAAATTCTGCAAAGTCAGATTGCCAGACAGTCAGTGACCAGCCTAGGCTGCAAGTTAGGAGGTGACAGTGTTGGGATCTATCCAGAAAGGGGTTTCTCCGGGGCCACTATTTCAGGGGGTGGGAGGTAAAATTGGCAATGTCTATCTTTTCTTAAACTGTGGTGTCAGTTTGCTTGCTTTTCTTAGTCCCAGCCATGTGGCTAGAATTTGGGGACCTCTAATAATTGGAAATAATTGCCTCTTGCCATTCCACCTCCTGCAATGTAACTTTTCTCTCTGATTTGTGAATACCTGCCCCCCAATAAGACCTGTCTTCCTCATCTCTCCTTCCACTTGGGCCTGTCCCACTTGCTGTTTGCTGAGCTGACCCTTGAGGGCTCCTGCCCCGTTCTTCCCTATCTCACTCAATTGCCATTGCCCCCAACACCCATGCCATGGCAGAAGGTTCTACCAAAACTTGCATCCCCCAGTCCCCAAGGATGCTGGGCTCTGGCAAGACATTAAAAAGGCGACCCTGCCCAAGGTGCTCCGGTCAGATCCCTTGGAGATGCCCTAGTTGTCCAGCGCCTCCTGGAGATGTTCTCCACCTTAATTAGCAAATTAGAGGTTCTAAGTGAAGCCCAGCAGCAAGGACACCTCTTTGCCTTTCTTTACACAAGGTTTCCCAAACTCATCTGACACGGAGGGCAGTTTTTTGAGGGACATCTGTTGACAGGCGGTGGTGCACCTAAGTTCTAATGCAGTTCGAGGTGTGTGTGCTGCTTTTAGGAAAATGTTTTGTGCAGGGTTTGCAAAGTGGTTGTGGTGGAGATGAAGGGAGGAAAAAGAGGAGGGTAACCTCCAGAAGAAGAAAAACATAGCTTTGTCTAAGTGATGAGGCAGAAAATACAGATACAAGTCAGGCCTCAGAAGGAGCTTATGCCTCAGACACTGGGAAGGTGGGAGAACGGTCCTTACAGAGCCTTGGACAAAAGGCTTTGGCTTGGAAACAGGGCTCATGCAGATGTGAGGGATGGTCATCATCCTCTTTTCCATCCTAAATACCTTTGGGTTTATCTTTGTGTATCCCTAAGGATAGAGATGAGAAGATGAAGGCAAATTCCTTGGCTTGTAAAAACTAGGCTTGAGAATGGCTAGTGAAAAAAAAATCACTTTAAAATAAGAATCCTAGCTTTTATAATTATGCTAGTTTAAAGGTATTGTCTTCTACTTTATCTAGTTAATAATAAAATGCAATGGTGACTGAGAGGTCAATGAATCATCAGAACCCTCACTGAGGGCTAGCTCTGTGCCAAGCACTGGCATAAGTGCTTATGATGCATTGTGTCATTTAATCCTCATAACAACACTATAAGACAGACACTATTATTACCATCACTTTCCTTGTTTGTAAAATAAGGGTGTCTACATCCTAGGTTTATTAGGTGAATTAGAGGAAGTAGATATATAATAAATGGAAGCTACTCTGCAAAGACAGAAAAAATGCCAGAAGGCATTGCATACGAATGTGAATGTGTAGTGTGTGTGTGTATTAACGATTTCCCTGATTGTCAAGACTGCAAGAATGTGCCAGGAACAGTTGGTCTAGGACAAGCATCAGCTAGAGCACTCGGAGGGAGGTAAGAAAAAGGGAAGGAGGAGTGAGGACAAGGGAAGTGCAGTGAAATCTTTTAGCAGAAATCATCTGGCCAATAGATCCATGAGAAGAGAACATTAATGATGATCACTTTGGATGCGGGCCAGAGATGCATTGAGGCAAAATGCAGGAGGGAAATTCGAGCATCAGGAACACATCAGAGAGGAGCTGAGCTGGCCAAGGTGAGGTGAATGGGAGAAGAAGCCTTGAAGCCAGCCACAAGCAACTTCACAGCCTGCCATGGGTGCAGGAACCTGGAGCTTCCTTCTGGGGAAGCACTGTCCTCTGTGAGCGGAGACCGCCAAACAGAAGCAGGCTGGGGCTGTTCCAGGAAGCGCAGGCCCAGAGAGGAGAAAACAACTGCACGGCTTTCCCAGAGCCTGGCAGAGTAATTCCTGTTTCTCTACAGTTATGCTGCGTGCTCTGGCATCTTACATAATTCAGGGCCACAGGCAACATTTTAGTGCAGTGAGAGACATATCCAAAGCCAGATTATATTTTCTGAGATTCTTCTGCAGCCTCTGGGTGCAAAGTCAAAAATATCTTTCCATTAACTAGGATGTAATAAGAGAGCCCTTTTATGTTGGACGAAGCCTCTCATTCTTCTGGCTTTAGCTCCACTGTCACCTCCCCTGTCCTCCCCCTCTTACCTTGTGTAATGTGTCCTCAAACCCTAGTGTTCTCGGCTCTCCCTAACACATACCTGGTTTTATTTCCTCTTCCTTGTCACAGTACTAGTTACTGTGTGACATTATCTTCCTTGCTGGAATGCAAGCTCCATGAGAACAGAGACATGTTGTCCACCTCTGCATCCCCAGGCCCTGAAACCCAGCCTGGCACAGAGGATCTGAAGGATTGAGGTTTGGAGAAGCATTTTGCTTTCAGCCAGAGACAAAACTTTCCTCTTCATAATAGTCCAGTTTAGGACATTTTATGTTCAACTAAGCCTAGCTGTGAAAGTGCCTCCCCAGTAACCATTCATTCAAATCATCTCATGCTGTTGGAAACCCCATAATGTTCCAAACACCGTGCTAGGCACTAGGCACAGAGGAGAAACAGTCTTTCCCTCACTGGTGCAGAAGGAACACGTGAAGAGCAATGGCAGCACACAGGTGCTCACCACAGATGCTGGGACGGAGGTTGGCCTGCAGTGCATGGGGAAAGGAAGGGGCATGGGAGGCCTCTCGGAGTTTTTGGAGCGAGGGCAAGACCAGGGATGCAGGTGGGGGGCTTGGCTTGTTGGAGGAACTGCTGGCAGGTCCCTGGCCTCTGCATACAATACCTGTGGGGGCATGCTCAGGAGGTGCAGTGACCAGGTGCCGAAAAGCCACTTAGCAAGAGGCTTTGTGAGTTAGGACTGGATGCCCTGGAGGCCACAGGGAGAGGGGGGGGGGGGTGGGGCTTTTAAGCAGTGCTGGGAGAGGCTCAGGTTTATATTTCAGATATTACTTTGGCAGCAAGGCAGGGGCTAGACTGAGGGAAGGAGGGCCTGAGGAGGTGAGGTGGAATTGGGAAGCTAGAGCAAGTATTTTTCCAGGAGAAAACTAATCATAGCCCAAACTAATAGCAGTAGTATGGCAGGAATAACAGAATTACTAGTAATAGGGGAAACTTTTATTGGACACTTATTATGTGTCAGGCACTATATTAAGAGTTGTACACACCAGATAATATTTAATTTTTAGGCTACAGAGCTGGAGGGGAGGGGATGCATTCGAGAACAATTTCAGAGGGGACATTTAGAGGATTTGTTGCTTAACTCATTCTTAAGTAGCTAAATTTGAGTGGATGGTGGTTCTCTTCACCAGAGTAGGGGGAGTGGGAGAAACGGACCTGAGGTGAGGGAGAGAGTGAGAGGTGTCATTTGGGAAGTTCCGTGTCAGGTTTCTGTAGGACATTTAGGTAAAGTCCCGGTGGAGACACAGACATGGGGTGATGGTACATATGTGAACATTAACACCAGCTATGTGGGAAGAACATCAGGTGGGTGGGAATGGAGCCCAAGGATAGATGCCTAGAATGAAATGGAATTTGAAAAGGGTGAAGAAAGGGGAAAAGCTTATAGTCAAAAAGAGGTAGGAAAAGAGGGTCAGGCAGGAGGGGGTGGAACCAGGAGAAAGTAACATTGTAGAAACAAAGAAAAGACAGAATTGCAAGCAAAGGGAGTGAACAACAGCACCAGGAAGTATAGGAAGGTCAAGTAAGCTGAAGTCTGCAAAATGTTTCTTCCCTGTGACAATTGGGTGGTCTTGGCAACCTTGAGAACAACTTCAAGGAAGTGCTGGTAGCAGAAATCAGGACAGAGTGTGCGCGGAAGGAGTGGAGAAGGAACACAGCAGGACGCAAGTCCAGGCAGCGCTCCAGGACGGCAAGGAGGCGAGGAGGAAGAGACAGTGGTGAAAAAGATTTTTGTAATTTTTGTTTTTAACACAGCAGATATTTGAGCCTGCTTAAATGCTGATTGGAAGGAGAAAATAGAGAGGGAGAGGTGGAAATAACAGTGACCCTGGAAGTAACTGAAGGAGCAAAGAGGGAATGGAATCAAGACACTGTTATCAAAGAAGATATATTGCCACAGGAGAAGTCTTCAGAAATTCTGATTTTCAAAGTCTTATCGTTTCTTAATTATATATCTTGAAAAAAGTTATAAAGTTAATAATAAGCTTTAGTAAGTTGAAGTGAACCTGATCTTTCCATGATTTAATTCATTAAAATAGTTAAGTCCTAAATCTAGTAATAATTTGTTTCCTGTGATTCTACTCATTTCCATATTTTGGTATCTACACTCAGCATTTGTGGATCAGAGAAATTATAAGAGATTCAACGGTGAGAATCAGGGTGGTAAGTACTGAGCCACGGATATGACGAGTCCTCACTGCATGCCAGTGGCCAATGGCGGCCATCAATCCTTCTACCCGCCACATTCAGATGCAGTCTTGGTGTTCTTCTCAAAACAACATTCTACTTGGTCACTTCCAAAGTTCCAGTTTGAAATGTGTATGCCACCCTTGATTAAGAAACTATCCACTTGGGGTCAAACTCCAGCCCCGAAGCAGGATGAGTCGTCGCTTACAACCATCTATGTGGATTTAGGGATTCTTCTAGTTGGACCAGACCTCCACACTGTCCCTCTCCCTCAGCCTTGCCTCCTTGCTAAACTCTAGAGGCCTGGACCTCAGATGTCTTCCTCATGCAGTGCGGACACATTTTGTTTTAATTTGTTATCCACCCCCAGCCAAGCCCCTGACTCCTGTTTCGTGGACTGGGTTTTAGTCTTTCCTCTCGTGGCATCTGATTCTGTCCCATTCCTGAGTTGGCCTTCACTGTCACCTCCATGCTGACAGCTAATGGCAGCTGTGCTCGGCTCCATGGTTTCCAAGAGACATCTGTCATGTGGACAGCTCGCTTCCTGCTGCCCCTAGCTGCCTGTAGGTGCAACTTTTCTTCACTACTCTGTCTGGTCAGGACTTCTTCCAAATACGAGAGTTCTCACCACAGTCCTTGCCTTACTGCCTTTTCTTGGGGACCTCTTTCCCCAGCTTCATCTGCCAATTCTTGTGTGTCCTTTGGGCTTAGTGAGCCCATCACTAACTTCCTCCACGAGGTCTTCCCCAACTGCCGATTCTTGGCTGAGAGCCTTTCTCTGTGCCCGGCAGCACCCGTCCACCCTGTGCCAGAGCAATTCTCACCCAGCACAGTGAGGGCTGCCTTCTGCTTTTCTCCCCAGCTGCATGGGAAGGCAGGGCTGTACATGTATCCAGCTCTACACAGCACTGGAAGATGGCAGATGGTAAGAGCCAGCTGTCGTGTGGATGTATGTATGAATGAGTGGATGTTGCAGCTAACTTTTCTATGAACTTGCTTTTTTGTTTCTCCAAACCTTTTTTTGCTTATAACTCTACAGTAAGAGGGCATTGCTTGTTTGTTTTGTTTTATTTGCACTTATATTGTTTTAAATTTTCCTTTAAGGAAAAATCCAAATGACAAAAAAATACCACCTTTGTATCTGTGTTGTGCAATGGATGATAACCAACAGAAGAGGAAAATGAAGCATTTAAAAAATACAGTGAAAATTCACTAGTTCAGATAACAAAAATTCTGACTTTCTGAGACTATGCACAAGTGTTCTCAATTCAGCAAGCTTCTTCTTTGTAGTGCAAATTACTTTTGTAAATAAGAGCAGGGAGACTGTCTAAACTATTTAAAATAAATTCTGCACTCCTTAGCACTTCATGGATTCCAATGAATATTTAGGTATATGCTAATTACTTGTCATTTTTATCCATTTACTAAAAATAAATACTCCTAAGAACCTCTGGCAGTGAATCATTTGCAAAATATGTTGCATGTTCCCCATCAGGACACTCACGGTCCTCCAGTTCTGGCCACTGCTGGCCTCGGGCAGCTTTGTCTTCAGTCACTGGGCATTCTGAGCCTGCAGGATCCCCCTAAACATACCGGGCTGCTGCACGCCCTGTAACTTTGGTCATGTTCACACTGTCTGGAAACCCCTGTCCAGCTTCTTTAACCGAGGTCCACGACTTCTCTTCTCAAGTCTTTTTCTGAATCAGTTGGACTAAATGCCCCTACTTATTGTTTCCAAAGACCCCTCTGCACAATAATCCTGTCACTCGGACCAGGACAGGAACTGAGTCCTGCTCACTGCTGGAATCGCCAGCACCAAACCAATTGCAGGCATAGAGCGGACACTAAGCATTGATTGAGATAGAATTAAACTCAGTAGTGCCATTTGAAACATTCTATGCAATAAAAGTTAACAAAAACCCACCATGACATTATTTTGGAATTGAAACTGGCCTTCGACCTAATTGTCCTGAGTTAGAGAGATTGCATTGTCCTATTAATATTGTATTATCTACGTTGTAGTCTTCCATGATAATGTAATAGAACAATGTATGTGGAAATAATTGGTAAAGTACTAAACAAATGTGAAGTAGTTATTTTAATTTCTATTATTGGACTAAAATTACATTAGTTATACAGTGTTTTCTAATAGGATTATTTAAAATTAAGGTTCTTGTGAGCAAGAACATATTCTATATTCTGTTAAATTAGGTATGACTTTAAACCAAATCATTTTACAAGCCACGTGAATGAGAATTCTGCCCAAAGCAAGCTAGCAAAGAAAACTACAATGAAAAATTGCATATGTGACGTGTCTTTCACACGTGAAAGTTTATACTTCTGCTGTTGCTACCAAATGCTGCAAATGCCAGTGCATTCTCTGGAACTCATCTCTGAGTGACAATGAATAAGTACTCAATGGACTTGGGCAAATAAATCTTCATTCAGTGGTAGTAAATTACCTTCTTGGAATTTGTAAGTATCAGTAATATCCATCATGCCATCTCCTCCAATTTGTTTGGTCACAATTAATTTCCCAATGTGGGTGGCATCCACATTTTCCACCACATGAGTGCCATCTTTCTTAGCTGTAATGTAAATGAGGTCGCTGTTGACCTGGAAACAGGAGAGGAGAGCATTAGCCATCATCACATGTCTGCTGTTGCCAAAGTCTTTAACTGTCCATAGAGCAGTCGTCTAGAGATCTCTGGAGCTGACATGCCCCTTTCTTCAACAACATTGGATTCGTATCATAGGGCCAAACAGGTTTTGAAAATATTCTAAAGGCGAATCTAGTTGATTTAGTAGTACTTTAAATAAAGATTATTTGAGGCTGAGATAATAAACTGTCTAAGAAGCAACCATTTTTCTCCCTCCTCTGTCCTTGTGATAAGTCCTACCTCTCACAGGAGAGAAGACAATGCCATGCCACCATGCCCATCGCTTGCTTCCCTGGACTTCTTTTGGGCTAACTGTGGCTATGTGACCTACTGCCAGGAGGAAGAGGAAGTCTGCTAGGTGGCTTCTGGGAAACATTTTTCCCCTTTGAAAAAGGAGAGAGGTACATGGATGAGTTTGTCCTTCCCCTTCTGCTTTCAGCTGTTTTCAGGTGTTTTCAGGTGAAGGGATGCTTGAAGCTGCTGTGGCCATCGTGAGACAGTGAACAGAAACACTGCTGACAATGAGAAGGTGGCAGAGTAGAAAGCTGAGAGGCGTTTGGGGATTTGGGGGCCTTAATGATGCTGTTAAATGGCTAAGCCCGCATCAGGACCACCTATTTCAGGATTTCTTATATGAGAAAATCAGTCCCCATCTGTTTCAGCCACATTAGTTCTGCTACTTGAAGCCAAAAGTATTTAAATTGAACAATAATATTAGATGATCTAGGAGGAATTCAGGCTATTTTCTATTGGTTCAGCAACTAAAATGTGCTATTTGTGGGACTCAGAAATAGTGTCTTGGGGCCATGCTGTCTGCCCCCAAGCTCTCCCAAGGCTCTGCTTTACTATTCTACTTTCTAGAGACAATGACTAATGTGTGCCTGAAAGCTGACTGTACCAGAGTCCTTTATTACATATTTTATAATCACTTTCTTGAAGGTTCCAGTTATTATCATGGAAGCAGGTAGGAAGCATGAATTGTACTGCTAATAGTCATTGATGTATTTACTAAATGTTTCCCAAGCTCCTCTCCAAGCCTCAGTTACCCACTCTTTAAATAGGGTGATAATAACTCCTTCTTCATAGGACGATTGGCAGAATTAACAGAAACAAATGCACACACATTACTTATCATAGTGTCTGGCATAGAGTAAATGCTCAGTAAATGTTATTGATAATAATATTGAATAGTATTGCCAGATATTGTTTAAGGATTCAGAATCCTAATGATGAACAAAATAGATTTGGTTGCTGCCATTAGAGAGTTTATGCTTTAGTAAGCATGATTCTGTGCATCAGAGTCACCTGGAGAACTTTAAACAAAAATAGACGCCTGATTAAGGAGGTGGGACCTAAATCACGTGAGGCCCTAAATCCATTATATTTTACAAAAAGTCTCACATAATTCTGTTAGATAGTCAGGCTTGAGAAGCCCTGCAATACAGTGCGATAAGTACCATGAAAGAATAAGTACAAGATACTTTGGGAGCACATGGGGCAGTGGAGTCAAGGGTTGGCTAGAAAGTAACAGCCAAGGTGAAACCTAGATGGCATTTGAGAGGAATACTAGATTTGCTGCAAGAAACCTGGGTTCCGATAGTGGGTGTGTCCTTGTAGAAAGTGCATGTTAATCTCTATGAACTTCAGTTCCTGATTCTATAAAATAAAAATGATTAAATTTGTTCTGCCAATTTTATGGGAGCATTTTAGGCCAGAGTGAGATAAGATCTATGTGAACATGACTTGTAAATTTCAAAATTGAGTAAAAATATAATAGTCATCATTAGGTAATGGGGAAACTTGAAGATATATCCCTAGGTTTTAAAGTTGAGGTTAAAGAGAGCAATTTTACTTTCTCACAGAATGTTCTGAGTGCACATGAAGTCGGATTTCTACTAAGGGGGAGATAGCCAACATTTGTTGCATACCTACAATGTTTCAGGGACATTTTATAAAGGATTTAGTTTGAACCTCACAACAACAAGCCTGTGAGGTATATATTGTAACCGTATTATGGATGAGGGCACCAAGACTCAGAAGGGGGAGGCAAAGTGTTTGTGGTTTCATGGCTAGGAGCTGCTGGAGAAGCAGCTCAAGCCCTGGGACAGCCCATAACCTGGCCCTTGGCCTTCACGGCACACCGCCTTTCCCACACCACCCTGCGGGAGCATGAGCCCCAGCTTGAGTGGTGAGATGGTTCCACACTTGCGGCTCAGATTTCTGAGGGTGATAAACGGTGGCCCTGCCCCTCAGCAGAGCAGCCAGAACTCAGGGGTGCTAGCCACATGTTGTGAAAGGCTGAAATGTGAAGTCAGGAATCAGGACAGGAGAGGACGCAGCAGATACCTGTGGAATATTTGTCATTTTGGAAGCTTTAAATGAGCTGTCTGAGAATTCGGGAATTCCCTCTGGAGGAAGCCATGTAAGTACAAACAGCGACCCCCTCTACTTTCAAATCGTAGCAACAATAATGATAAATAACTTCTTAATAACAATCCTTATAACAGCTTGTGGTTTTCCAGGGAAACAAGCAAAATATGAAAGTGGCTGATTCCTGCCCCCCCACCTTGAATATGGCTTCAGAAATTCCTGTAGGCTGAAATCTCAGGACAGACCAACAGCACTGTCCTTTGCGGAGAGAGGAGACGAGAAACACCTGTATGGGGTGGCTTTTGTATATGTGTGTTGGGGTGGGATGTGGAGGGAAATTATTCTTTCCAAGCGACATTAGCAAGCTTTCTTTTTGGTTTCGGCCTGTAGTGGAATGGTTCTCTATTCTGGTTGTACTAGGGAATCATCTAGGAGCTTAAAAAAGCATGGAATGATTGGCCCCACCCAAAATCAATTGACGCTCTATGGTAGAACAATAGATAAGTTCAGAGTGTATGGCAAGGATTATTGGACTTAGGCTGTGTGGCTCTGGATGAGTTACTGAATCTCTCTCTTTTTTTTTTTTTATTATACTTTAAGTTCTAGGGTACATGTGCACATTGTGCAGGTTAGTTACATATGTATACATGTGCCATGCTGGTGCGCTGCACCCACTAACTCGTCATCTAGCATTAGGTATATCTCCCTATGCTATCCCTCCCCCCTCCCCCCACCCCACAACAGTCCCCAAAGTGTGATGATATTCCCCTTCCTGTGTCCATGTGATCTCATTGTTCAATTCCCACCTATGAGTGAGAATATGCGGTGTTTGGTTTTTGGTTCTTGAGATAGTTTACTGAGAATGATGATGTGATCTCATTGTTCAATTCCCACCTATGAGTGAGAATATGCGGTGTTTGGTTTTTGGTTCTTGAGATAGTTTACTGAGAATGATGATTTCCAATTTCATCCATGTCCCTACAAAGGACATGAACTCATCATTTTTTATGGCTGCGTAGTATTCCATGGTGTATATGTGCCACATTTTCTTAATCCAGTCTATCATTGTTGGACATTTGGGTTGGTTCCAAGTCTTTGCTATTGTGAATAATGCCGCAATAAACATATGTGTGCATGTGTCTTTATAGCAGCATGATTTATAGTCCTTTGGGTATATACCCAGTAATGGGATGGCTGGTTCAAATGGTATTTCCAGTTCTAGATCCCTGAGGAATCACCACACTGACTTCCACAATGGTTGAACTAGTTTACAGTCTCATCAACAGTGTAAAAGTGTTCCTATTTCTCCACATCCTCTCCAGCACCTGTTGTTTCCTGACTTTTTAATGATTGCCATTCTAACTGGTGTGAGATGGTATCTCATTGTGGTTTTGATTTGCATTTCTCTGATGGCCAGTGATGGTGAGCATTTTTTCATGTGTTTTTTGGCTGCATAAATGTCTTCTTTTGAGAAGTGTCTGTTCATGTCCTTCACCCACTTTTTGATGGGGTTGTTTGTTTTTTTCTTGTAAATTTGTTTGAGTTCATTGTAGATTCTGGATATTAGCCCTTTGTCAGATGAGTAGGTTGCAAAAATTTTCTCCCATTCTGTAGGTTGCCTGTTCACTCTGATGGTAGTTTCTTTTGCTGTGCAGAAGCTCTTGAGTTTCATTAGATCCCATTTGTCAATTTTGGCTTTTGTTGCCATTGCTTTTGGTGTTTTAGACATGAAGTCCTTGCCCATGCCTATGTCCTGAATGGTAATGCCTAGGTTTTCTTCTAGGGTTTTTATGGTATAAGGTCTAACGTTTAAGTCTTTAATCCATCTTGAATTGATTTTTGTATAAGGTGTAAGGAAGGGATCCAGTTTCAGCTTTCCACCTATGGCTAGCCAGTTTTCCCAGCACCATTTATTAAATAGGGAATCCTTTCCCCATTGCTTGTTTTTGTCAGGTTTGTCAAAGATCAGATAGTTGTAGATATGCGGCATTATTTCTGAGGACTCTGTTCTGTTCCATTGATCTATATCTCTATTTTGGTACCAGTACCATGCTGTTTTGGTGACCGTAGCCTTGTAGTATAGTTTGAAGTCAGGTAGTGTGATGCCTCCAGCTTTGTTCTTTTGGCTTAGGATTGACTTGGTGATGCAGGCTCTTTTTTTGCTTCCATATGAACTTTAAAGTAGTTTTTTCCAATTCTGTGAAGAAAGTCACTGGTAGCTTGATGGGGATGGCATTGAATCTGTAAATTACCTTGGGCAGTATGGCCATTTTCACGATATTGATTCTTCCTACCCATGAGCATGGAATATTCTTCCATTTGTTTGTATCCTCTTTTATTTCCTTGAGCAGTGGTTTGTAGTTCTCCTTGAAGAGGTCCTTCACATCCCTTGTAAGTTGGATTCCTAGGTATTTTATTCTCTTTGAAGCAATTGTGAATGGGAGTTCACTCATGATTTGGCTCTCTGTTTGTCTGTTGTTGGTGTATAAGAATGCTTGTGATTTTTGTACATTGATTTTGTATCCTGAGACTTTGCTGAAGTTGCTTATCAGCTTAAGGAGCTTTTGGGCTGAGACAATGGGGTTTTCTAGATATACAATCATGTCATCTGCAAACAGGGACAATTTCACTTCCTCTTTTCCTAATTGAATACCCTTTATTTCCTTCTGCCTAATTGCCCTGGCCAGAATTTCCAACACTATGTTGAATAGGAGTGGTGAGAGAGGGCATCCCTGTCTTGTGCCAGTTTTCAAAGGGAATGCTTCCAGTTTTTGCCCATTCAGTATGATATTGGCTGTGGGTTTGTCATAGATAGCTCTTATTATTTTGAAATACGTCCCATCAATACCTAATTTATTGAGAGTTTTTAGCATGAAGGGTTGTTGAATTTTGTCAAAGGCTTTTTCTGCATCTATTGAGATAATCATGTGGTTTTTGTCTTTGGCTCTGTTTATATGCTGGATTACATTTATTGATTTGCGTATATTGAACCAGCCTTGCATCCCAGGGATGAAGCCCACTTGATCATGGTGAATAAGCTTTTTGATGTGCTGCTGGATTTGGTTTGCCAGTATTTTATTGAGGATTTTTGCATCAATGTTCATCAAGGATATTGGTCTAAAATTCTCTTTTTTTTGTTGTGTCTCTGCCTGGCTTTGGTATCAGAATGATGCTGGCCTCATAAAATGAGTTAGGGAGGATTCCCTCTTTTTCTATTGATTGGAATAGTTTCAGAAGGAATGGTACCAGTTCCTCCTTGTACCTCTGGTAGAATTCGGCTGTGAATCCATCTGGTCCTGGACTCTTTTTGGTTGGTAAGCTATTGATTATTGCCACAATTTCAGATCCTGTTATTGGTCTATTCAGAGATTCAACTTCTTCCTGGTTTAGTCTTGGGAGAGTGTATGTGTCGAGGAATTTATCCATTTCTTCTATATTTTCTAGTTTATTTGCATAGAGGTGTTTGTAGTACTCTCTGATGGTACTTTGTATTTCTGTGGGATCGGTGGTGATATCCCCTTTATCATTTTTTATTGTGTCTATTTGATTCTTCTCTCTTTTTTTCTTTATTGGTCTTGCTTGCGGTCTATCAGTTTTGTTGATTCTTTCAAAAAACCAGCTCCTGGATTCACTAATTTTTTGAAGGGTTTTTTGTGTCTGTATTCCTTCAGTTCTGCTCTGATTTTAGTTATTTCTTGCCTTCTGCTAGCTTTTGAATGTGTTTGCTCTTGCTTTTCTAGTTCTTTTAATTGTGATGTTAGGGTGTCAATTTTGGATCTTTCCTGCTTTCTCTTGTGGGCATTTAGTGCTATAAATTTCCCTCTACACACTGCTTTGAATGTGTCCCAGAGATTCTGGTATGTTGTGTCTTTGTTCTCGTTGGTTTCAAAGAACATCTTTATTTCTGCCTTCATTTCGTTATGTACCCAGTAGTCATTCAGGAGCAGGTTGTTCAGTTTCCACGTAGTTGAGCGGTTTTGAGTGAGATTCTTAATCCTGAGTTCTAGTTTGATTGCACTGTGGTCTGAGAGATAGTTTGTTATAATTTGTGTTCTTTTACATTTGCTGAGGAGAGCTTTACTTCCAAGTATGTGGTCAATTTTGGAATAGGTGTGGTGTGGTGCTGAAAAAAATGTATATTCTGTTGATTTGGGGTGGAGAGTTCTGTAGATGTCTATTAGGTCCGCTTGGTGCAGAGCTGAGTTCAATTCCTGGGTATCCTTGTTGACTTTCTGTCTCGTTGATCTGTCTAATGTTGACAGTGGGGTGTTAAAGTCTCCCATTATTAATGTGTGGGAATCTAAGTCTCTTTGTAGGTCTCTAAGAACTTGCTTTATGAATCTGGGTGCTCCTGTATTGGGTGCATATATATTTAGGATAGTTAGCTCTTCTTGTTGAATTGATCCCTTTACCATTATGTAATGGCCTTCTTTGTCTCTTTTGATCTTTGTTGGTTTAAAGTCTGTTTTATCAGAGACTAGGATTGCAACCCCTGCCTTTTTTTGTTTTCCATTTGCTTGGTAGATCTTCCTCCATCCTTTTATTTTGAGCCTATGTGTGTCTCTGCATGTGAGATGGGTTTCCTGAATACAGCACACTGAAGGGTCTTGACTCTTTATCCAATTTGCCAGTCTGTGTCTTTTAATTGGAGCATTTAGTCCATTTACCTTTAAAGTTAATATTGTCATGTGTGAATTTGATCCTGTCATTATGATGTTAGCTGGTTATTTTGCTCGTTAGTTGATGCAGTTTCTTCCTAGTCTCGATGGTCTTTACATTTTGGCATGATTTTGCAGCGGCTGGTACCGGTTGTTCCTTTCCATGTTTAGCGCTTCCTTCAGGAGCTCTTTTAGGGCAGGCCTGGTGGTGACAAAATCTCTCAGCATTTGCTTGTCTGTAAAGTATTTTATTTCTCCTTCACTTATGAAGCTTAGTTTGGCTGAATATGAAATTCTGGGTTGAAAATTCTTTTCTTTAAGAATGTTGAATATTGGCCCCCACTCTCTTCTGGCTTGTAGAGTTTCTGCCGAGAGATCCGCTGTTAGTCTGATGGGCTTCCCTTTCAGGGTAACCCGACCTTTCTCTCTGGCTGCCCTTAACATTTTTTCCTTCATTTCAACTTTGGTGAATCTGACAATTATGTGTCTTGGAGTTGCTCTTCTCGAGGAGTATCTTTGTGGCGTTCTCTGTATTTCCTGAATCTGAATGTTGGCCTGCCTTGCTAGATTGGGGAAGTTCTCCTGGATAATATCCTGCAGAGTGTTTTCCAACTTGGTTCCATTCTCCCCATCACTTTCAGGTACACCAGTGAGACGTAGATTTGGTCTTTTCACATAGTCCCATATTTCTTGGAGGCTTTTCTGGTTTCTTTTTATTCTTTTTTCTCTAAACTTCCCATCTTGCTTCATTTCTTTCATTTCATTTTCCATCGCTGATACCCTTTCTTCCAGTTGATCGCATCGGCTCCTGAGGCTTCTGCATTCTTCACGTAGGTCTTGAGCCTTGCTTTTCAGCTCCATCAGCTCCTTTAAGCACTTCTCTGTATTGGTTATTCTAGTTATACATTCTTCTAAATTTTTTTCAAAGTTTTCAACTTCTTTGCCTTTGGTTTGAATGTCCTCCCGTAGCTCAGAGTAATTTGATCGTCTGAAGCCTTCTTCTCTCAGCTCGTCAAAGTCGTTCTCCGTCCAGCTTTGTTCCTTTGCTGGTGAGGAACTGCGTTCCTTTGGAGGAGGAGAGGCGCTCTTCTTTCTAGAGTTTCCAGTTTTTCTGCTCTGTTTTTTCCCCATCCTTGTGGTTTTATCTACTTTTGGTCTTTGATGATGGTGATGTACAGATGGGTTTTTGGTGTGGATGTCCTTTCTGTTTGTTAGTTTTCCTTCTAACAGACAGGACCCTCAGCTGCAGGTCTGTTGGAATACCCTGCTGTGTAAGGTGTCAGTGTTCCCCTGCTGGGGGGTGCCTCCCAGTTAGGCTGCTCGGGGGTCAGGGGTCAGGGACCCACTTGAGGAGGCAGTCTGCCCCTTCTCAGATCTCCAGCTGCATGCTGGGAGAACCAGTGCTCTCTTCAAAGCTGTCAGACAGGGACATTTAAGTCTGCAGAGGTTACTGCTGTCTTTTTGTTTGTCTGTGCCCTGCCCCCAGAGGTGGAGCCTACAGAGGCAGGCAGGCCTCCTTGAGCTGTGGTGGGCTCCACCCAGTTCGAGCTTCCTGGCTGCTTTGTTTACCTAAGCAAGCCTGGGCAATGGTGGGCGCCCCTCCCCCAGCCTCGCTGCCGCCTTGCAGTTTGATCTCAGACTGCTGTGCTAGCAATCAGCGAGACTCCGTGGGCGTAGGACCCTCCGAGCCAGGTGCGGGATATAATCTCGTGGTGCGCCGTTTTTTAAGCCCGTCGGAAAAGCGCAGTATTTGGGTGTGAGTGACCCGATTTTCCAGGTGCCATCCGTCACCCCTTTCTTTGACTAGGAAAGGGAACTCCCTGACCCCTTGTGCTTCCCGAGTGAGGCAATGCCTCACCCTGCTTTGGCTCGCGCACGGTGCGTGCACCCACTGACCTGTGCCCACTGTCTGGCACTCCCTAGTGAGATGAACCCGGTACCTCAGATGGAAATGCAGAAATCACCAGTCTTCTGCGTCACTCATGCTGGGAGCTGTAGACTGGAGCTGTTCCTATTCAGCCATCTTGGCTCCTCCCTCCGAGTTACTGAATCTCTCTGAGCCTACCTTCCTTGTCGGGCTGGTGGATAGATTGGTACTACTTGTGAAAGCCCTACATTTACGGCTAATTTTTCTTCCTTCTTTTGAATGTAATGTTAGTGATCCCCTTTTTCTATCCCTACACTTGAAGGGTTATCATCACACAAAATCTGGGCATTGGTGCATGAAATTGGATATTTTTTTCACAACACCACACCCTTGCCTCTTAAGTACAGGCACTTCCTACATAGTAGCCTCTACCATTGGTCAGGGCCCTAGCTTCTCAGTAAAGGTGGGGTGGAAAGCAGGCTTGGGGGCTGCTCTCTGCAAATGTCCACCTGGGCCCATAGAATGTGAACATTTGTCCACAGGTGGCAGAAGATATGCTCTTCACCACTGAGGCTAGAGACGTGCTCTTGCTTTCAGGACCCTGGACAGAGTTTGCTTTGGTTTGTTTATTTGTTTCCAAGTGGAGATAACCTTGTCTGCAGGCTCTGCAGAGAAAATGCTGCTTCTCAGAGGGCATATGGAGGCAGTGAATGCCTTCCTGGCACTGGACCCTAGATCCTGCTCTCAGCAATGCGGTTACAAGAGCTTCTACCTTCATGGAGCTCATATTCTAGAAGGGAGAAATGGAGTACACACTAAGGTTGGAGGATGAAAACAACAGGGCAGATGGTGATATTTTAGGTGCAGTTGGGTGAGCGAAGGCCTCTTTGAAGAGGTGACCAGAGCAGAGACTTGAATGCAGAGAGGGAACAAAGCATGCAAAGCATTCTTCCTACACAGAGTGAAAGATAGTGAGGGGAGCTTTCCTAGCAAAAGGAGCAGTATGTCTAAAAGTGCTGACACAAGAGGATGTGTGGATGCTTTCTGAAGAGAAAAATCTCAGTATGGCTGGAGGGAAATAAACAAGGGATGAAGTGGAAGGGAAGCCATGGAATCTTGTAGGAATTTATGTTCAGTTTTATTGTAAGGGTGGTGGAACTCCACCAGAAGGGTTGGGGCAGGAGTGTGATGTTTGTATTTACATTTAAAGAATAATTCTCTTGCTCTGTGGGGAATAGACAGAAAAGGAGCAAGAGGGGGATCAGGGAGATGAGTTAGGAGGAGTTAGGAGGTAACTTTATGGAGCTCAGTGTTGTACAGAGCTCAGAGGGTAACGATAGAGATTGTAGAAGTGGCTGGATTTATGATAATTTTGGGAAGGTATTTTTGGCAAGATGCATAAGGGAGGTTAAGAAGGAAAGCTAAAATAATTCCAAAGTTTTGTATGCTATTTGAATAAATGACTGGATTATTTTATAGCCAAGTAGGAGATGCCAAAAAAATAGGCTGCATCTGATAAGATAGTAGCAAAATAAATAAGTTTGAATTGAGAATGAATAATCTACAGGAAAACATCTCCACACGTTGTATAAGAGAACTGCTGGCCCACAGCAGAGGAGGGCTTAGCTTCTTGAGTGATGAGATGGTTGCTGTGGTCCCAGGGAGCCAGTTATTGCTCCTGTCAAAATCATCTCAGCGCCAGTGAGGGCAGGCAGGAGTGTGTGCATGCATGTGTGTGTGTATGTGAGTGAGTTTGGGGTGGAGTGGTGTGAAAGAGGGCAGCAGAGTTAATGAGAAGTTAGGACAGAAGAGAGTTATCTTTGGCAAGAAGGAGAGAGTTCTTCACTAAGAACCCCTGAGGGCTTCGTGAACATGGAATCTTGGAATACGACTCCAGACGCTTAGAACAGCTCTCATCTCCTCTCACCTATTTGGAAGCCCTAGGCCACCATAAGCTGGGGAGATAGGCAGATGGGGCTTCAGATCCACAGGAACCCACTGCAGCAGGGAGGACATGGGAAGGGAGGGGTAAGAGAAATAAGCTTCAAGCCCTGGCAGAAACCCAGAAATGTGGAGGGTGAACTTCCAAAGTGGAGGAGGAGAGAAAAAAGGAACAGAAGGTAAGACATTTTCCAGGCATACCCCTCTTCTTTTTAGGCTCTGCTTTCACTCATGGAGACTAAGGCCCTGGGAACACTAAAAAACAGTCAATGAACATGATGCTTGATCAAGCCTGGAAATGAGTAAGGAATGACCAAGAAAGTCAGCATGCTGGGAGGGAAGAGAAGGCGAGCTGATGCAGCAAGGACGAGGGAGAGCAGAGAGAGCCACAGACTCGAACCTGAGTCATATCGACTCATATGACACTCCCCATGGGGTCCCACTGCAGGCACCCTTGAGAAAAGATTCCTCATACACTTTTCATCAACTCAAACATCTCTTAAAAATGGCTCAGCCCCTGGAGCGCAGCCCATGCCAAAGCAACAAATTGTACCCTCTGTCAGACACGCCTCTGCAGTGGGTGAGAAAGGAGTAATTATAATCTGCAAATCCTGATGACATTCATAACACCCCGATCTATATTTAATAATAGCAAAAAGTGTTTGCATTTACAGCTATTAGGCAGCTTGCTTGTGGAGGGAGGTCCTCCTTCTCCTTCTTTGCAGCAATAAAGTGTAATAAAAAGCTGAAAACAAGGCTTTGTGGATTTCAGAGTGATCTCCTCATTAGGGGCTCTCGTAGCATCATAAACTATCAAATGACAGCTGGGAGGTTTGTGGAAATCTTCAAATCCCAAAGTGAAAACGAGGGGATAAAATTCCAAGTCCAGTAAGCTTGGTCTCCAAAGGCTTCTGTAAACTGCCACGGCAGGTACGATGAGATGAACACTGGTCTTTTGTGTGTTTCAAATTCCTGATCTTGCTGTCTGAATTTTGATGTTCGTTTTGCTTTCTAAATATTAACATTTCTCAGTCCTGCCTCCTCTTTTCCTCATTATTGCCATTTGTCTAGCTCATGCCCTTTCCATCTCTGGCTTGGAGGGATGACCAGCCCTCTAGATGTTCCCCACAACTTCATAACAACCCCTCCAATCCGTGTTCCACAAGGCTGTCAGCACCTTGCCCAAGTTCCCACCCAGTGAAAACTCTCCCTCACTTACAGGAGGGACAAGGAGCAAGTCTCTCAGGGAGGTCCTCTGCACTGCGTTCCTTCAGCCTCCACCTTCCAACACCCCTGATGCATCCTTGGCGTTCTAGTGAGTCTGCACAGCTTTCAACTGCCCCCACAAAGCTTTCAGATGCTCAACTCATCCCCCTGCTTTGCACTCCTCCCTTCCTCTGGCTTCTTTCTAATCATTTTGCCTAATCATCCCTCCTTCCCATGTGGTCCCACAGTTCTCTGCTCTTACTACCTGGGGACACTTCCACAGGCATCCTCACTGTCTGTTCCCAGGTCGCCCTTCCTTCCTAGATGGTGTCTTGTGGTCTTTGCCATCCTGCTTCAGTTCTTGGCCTCTACTTCCCAACTCATGCATCATATGAATGCAGATCTGTGCTCTCTACATGGCCCACCTGACAAGTATTGTTGTTATTTCATGTTCAGTGTGTTTGTGCCCTGTCACCTGGCATCTAGAAATACGTTTCTTAAAGACTTGAACCTTAGAATTCCCCCCAGTACAATGCCTGGTGTACATTAATAATAACTATTTGTTCCTCCTGGAGTACTAGAGTGCAATGGTTACCAGTATGCATTCAGGTATCTGCCTGGCTTCAAATCTTAGCACTGCTATTTATTAGCTAGATGGTTGTGAGAAAGTCACTTAATCACTCTTTGCCTCGATTTTATTTTCTGTAAAATGGGAAGAATTATCAATTTTAGAAGGTTGCTAAGAGCATCCAATGGTAGGCAAAGTGAAAGACATTATTTCAGTGTATTTACTGGTGCAAATATACCCTGGGGAAGTCCTGCCTCTCAGTCTTTCAAGTCTTCCTAGGCCGGCAGCCCAGCCTTCTCGTTTACCCAACATCTCTTACATTTAATTTGATTTTCAGAGCTCTCCTTGAGTATCCTTTAACAGCCTGTTCTGCTTCCAGTCCCTGCCTAGTTCTTCTGAAATGGCAGAGCCTTTGCCCAGGCATTCCCATCAACCCTGTAGGTGGGCTGTATTCCTCTCTTAGAGTAGCCTCCAGGCTCCCCTTCCTCCTTTGGCAACTCAACCCTCCCTCCCTGGCCACAGGTGATGGTGTGGGATGGCAGGACATAGATTGCAAAGGCCAGGGTAAGACCATGGTTGGGTGTGTGTATGTGGATTTTGTCTTACCTGGATTGCTGGACTAGTCCCAGAGGGAAGTGGCATGTCCTGAAATTTCAATTCATGACCCATCTCTTCCAATGAGGTTAGTTGAGAGATCCATTAGTCATATAATTTCTCTGGAGCAGTTGATACTTAATGGGTGCAGAGAACTAAGCTAATGTTAGTAAAGCATTTACTTTTGGGAGTAGGGAATCCCAAAACATCAAGGAAAGAAAAATGTTAAACAAGAACTGCATTTAGCATTAATAGCCTGGAAGTTGGAATAATGCCTAGTTACCTTTGTCAACACGAAGCATACGCTATGTACCTGGAAAACTTAGAAACAACAACTTTTAGCTTACTCTTTCATGTGTTAAGAGGTTGGGGAGAAAAACAGCACTTTCCTCCAGCTTCCTGCTTACCTCTGCAAAAACAAAAGGTGCATCAAATTGGAAGCAGACATGGCCGTGCTTGATGGCTTGAACCGAGGCGGGGCCACACCGATACATGCCTGCATTGCACAGAGGAAGGGCGGTGTGAGTTTGTCATCTCCAATTCTGTCCAGATACTGCAAGATTCATGGCACTGAGGGTGACTCTGTAAAGACCAGTGTTCCCAACTTCATTGCTGATTTAGCCCAGATGCTTTCCAAGGCTGAAGAGAATTCCATTGGCTATGCCCCCTCAAGCCAAAAATTGAAGCCATGGAAATAAATACAAGGCAACACTATTCCTGCATCTACTCTGCCACCTACAGACACATACCCAGATGTGTTGATGCCAAGCAGGTGGCTTACACAGCATTTATCTCTTGTTCAGGTGGTATCTGAAATGTTGGAAATGTTGATGTGTGCTCTGTGGTTGTGCTGCTGTTGCTGTTTGTTTTGCTTTTTGTCTTTTGTTTTTGGACATTATGAACATATGTCAAGTTTAACTGGAGAATTTGGACATTGCCTGTGCATTTTGGCCATGCCCACCATGCATTTAGGAAGTCAGAGGGCCTATGTTACTCTTCTAAAATGCTTTAAATTTTAACCACCTATCTATATAGTTAATAAGAGATTAGCTGCTATTAGTCACCTGTAAAATGTCCCCATGATATATATACCAGAACACCAGAAAGTGCTAAACTTTCTTCCTTAAAGCCTAGGATTATAATATGGTTTCAGTATGAATATCCATTGAATGTTTATGCATGTTCCTGTGTGTGCCCATCGATATATCAACACCTGAGGAAATAAACATAATATCCACAGTCTACTGATTCTTTATATTATCATATTAAAGAGAGATGGAGGCTTATGATGTGATTTTATAAAAATCTGGGGGAGGTCAGAGCTGCAGCTGCTTAGCATAGTTGGCAAGTTAGAAGACAAATACCCACATACTGAAGCTTTGGAGGAAATCACATGACATAAAAGGAGGCCAGGTTCTGGAAAAACAATTTAAAGGATGATCTATAATTATTTTTCGAGTTCTCTATTTTCTCTCCTGCCTTATATCTTACCAGTGCATACCACAAAGGGCTGAAGTATATTTTATAGCCTAGTAAAAATGCTTACAGATATTTTCTCTCCTGTCTTCAAAACTGCTTAGCAAAGCAAGAATGGATGAATTATACGTTGTTTTATATTCTTTCTCTAAAATCTGTAAAATAATCAGGGTAAAGCTGACAATGGAAATGAAATTAAACCTGATTGGAAGGTAGCTAATACTGTACATGTGCCCAGGAAGCACACTTCAGATGTTGCCTCCCAATGGGCGTGGTTCCCACACATCAAATGCAAGCATAAAAGCAAAACAAAGATCAGCAATGAAGCAAGTTCCCAGAGGGAGGACACAGTTTTACCATCGCTATTTTCCTGGGGGGTGCTGTCCACAGCTTGCCAGCCTCCAAATCCAACAGGAAGGTCAGGCCTTGTCATCCATGCTTCATTCCAGCAGTGGTAGTTCCTTAGAAAACACAAGCCCAGAAAGGTTAAACTTCCCATCACACCCAATGCTCCAAGAGATCAAGAAGTGACGGCCAGGCACAGTGGCTCATGCCTGTAATCCCAGCAATTTGGGAGGCCAAGGCAGGTGAGTCACAAGGTCAAGACATCAAGACCAGCCTTGCCAACATGATGAAACCCTGTCTCTACTAAAAATACAAAAATTAGCTGGGTGTGGTGGCGGGTGCCTGTAGTTCCAGCTACTTGGGAGGCTGAGGCAGGAGAATCGCTTGAATCTGGGATATGGAGGTTACAGTGAGCTGAGATTGTGCCACTGCACTTCAGCCTGGTGACAGAGGGAGACTCCATCTCAAAAAAAAAAAAAAGTGACCCCAAATCCTGTGCATATGCTATCTACAGATTATTAGAATGGATTAAGCCAAATCTGAGGGCTCCTGGAGATATCCTGGGGCTCTAGACTTGGGTTTTCTGGGCAGATTCATTCTCATTGGCATCCCTCAGGACACTCACATGGCTGGATGTCTCTTTCCCTCTGCTAAGAGCAGCTTCAAGGCCACCCAAAGATATTTGAATCAGTGCATTGAACAGTTTTAATCTTAACCATTTTCTGCTGACTAACGAAACAACTTACTAGGTACCGACAGGGTGGGGAAGAAAAGTTAACCAAAACTGAAATATTTATTTTGAACTTTTTAATATAGTTCCTATTTAGAAAAAGCATATTCCTTTGTAGCAATTAAGCAAAAAATACTTGTGTTTGTGGTCTTAGACTATTACTGTAGAAACTACAACAATTATGCCTGACTATAATTCTCTACAATTTCCATCTCGTGTCCAACAAGAAGAATACGTTGTCAGGGTGAATCTCTCTTTACCCTTTATTAAAAGTGCTAAGGGTCATGGAAAACTTCTCAGAAATTTGAATATGACCCTGGAAGCAAGAGCATGGAATAAAATGCCATCATGAATTGTATTATTATGTCCTTGAAAAGACCTGAAATTATATGACAGTACAGAATCAAATGAGAGCACATTAACCCCTCAGCACTATAGAAAATGTTCATATAGTAATAAAGAAAGATTTAATAATGTGGTGAGGTAGTTACAGCAGTCTTTGTTTATGACACTGATGAATTTCAGGTTCAACTACCACGGGTTCCGTGCCTAGACGCCCTTCAATGTCAGCTGTTTGCCCATGCTCCCATCTTTCTCTGAGTGCAGCCCATTTTTGATTGGTTCAAGAGATATTAATTTCACTATGTACCCACTACACACCAGGCACCTTGGTAGGTGCTGGAGACTCAGAGATGATCAAAACATAGATTCTTACCCATAAAGGGTAATCTTCTAGGAGAAATGACAAACCTGTAAACCAATTATCAAAACTGTCATAGGTTTGCTGTGAGACTTAAATAAGCTAATACATGTATTTCGAACACAGACTGGCATGTGTTAAGTGCTCAAAAATGGTAACTCTCAGGCTTTGAAAAATAATTAATTTAAATGATCCCTGGTAAAACGGGTGTTGATTTGGGGTGCCATGGAGTCTCAGTGGAGCAAAGTCTCCAGGTATTTGGGAAGTGATGTTTGAGCTGAGGCTCGAAAGATAAATGGGAATTTAGGAGGTCAAGAAAAGGAGGAAGAACAAAGTTACAGCGGCATGAAATAGCCATCATGGTTTGTTTGTGGAACTGTCTGCTGTGTGTTGTGGCTGGAGCATAGCGTGTTTGAACATTCAGGTTCATAGGAGAACGGTGATGGCAGGCAATGCACGAAACTAACAAATACATATAACACTTCCTTAGTGCGAAGTGGTGTTCTAAAACCCTCATGGATGTTAACACATCTGATGTCCCTAGCACCCTATAAGAACAGTACTATTGGTCGGGCGCAGTGGCTCACGCCTGTAATCCCAGCACTTTGGGAGGCCGAGGCGGGCAGATCACGAGGTCAGGAGATCGAGACCATCCTGGTTAACACGGTGAAACCCCGTCTCTACTAAAAATACAAAAAAATTAGCTGGGCGTGGTGGCGGGCACCTGTAGTCCCAGCTACTCGGGAGGCTGAGGCAGGAGAATGGCGTGAACCCGGGAGGCGGAGCTTGCAGTAGTGAGCTGAGATCACCCCACCGCACTCCAGCCTGGTCGACAGAGCGAGACTCCATCTCAGAAAAAAAAAAAAAGAACAGTACTATTATAATTACCCCCAGTTTACAGGGGAGGAAGCTGAAACCCAGGAAGGTTAAGAACCTTGCTGAGGTCACAGCTAGTTAGTGATAGAGCTCTGAAATCCACACTCTTCAACACTGACCTATGATATAGGTAAGGATAAGATTGTGAAATCCTTTGATATCAAATTAAACATTCATGCTTTATTCTTAGGCTATAAAAAGCCATTGGAATAATTTAAGAAGAAGATCTAAATTTGCAAATCTCTGTTCGTGGAAGATGGATGGAGAGGCAAGGCTGGAGATTGAGCTGAGTCCTCCCCGGCTGTCCCCCACCCCTGAAGAACTGCAATAGTGGACCAGAAAGGCATTCAGGTGGCCAGCACCATGGAGAGGGAGAGAAGCCATTGGGGATACAACCCACAGGTTTAGGGAGATGTGAGGGACTCGGATGAGTTGGGGAAGACTTTTGCCTGTCCAAGTAGTATGATGGTTTTGTTTACCAAGACTGTGAATAAAAAAGGAAGAGAAGAAAGTCTGTGTTGGGACTGGTGGTGATGGGTGGATGACCAGCCCAATTCTGGGCAGGATGAGCTTGAGTGCCTGTGGGAAACCCAGGAGGTGAGGCCTAAGAGGCATTTTTGTCTACACTTGTGATGCTCTGGATTGGATGAAGCGGAGGAGGAGGTTGCGGGAGTATTGGTGGGTGGTGGAGGAGGGCTGGGCAAAGCCAGCTGACAAATGAATGAGGAGGGAAGAAAGAGGTAGCTTCTTCCTTAAGAGTGACTTAGAGGCTGGCTACAGTGGCTCACACCAGTAATCCCAGCATTTTAGGAGGCCGAGGCAGGAGAACTGCTTGAGCCCAGGAGTTTGAGGCCATCCTGGGCAACATGGCGAAACCCTGTCTCTATTAAAGTTAAAGAAGTTAGCTGACCTGTAGTCTCAGCTACTTGAGGGGCTGAGTGGGAGGATCACTTGAGCCCGGGAGATCAAGGCTGCAGTGAGCCATGATTGCACCACTGCACTCCATCCTGGAAGACAGAGTGAGACCCTGTCTAAAAAAAAAAAAAAAAAAGTGATCTAGGTTGTAAGACAGAAGAAAAGATAGGGCAGGGGCTAGCATGTAATGCAATGCAGGGAAGTCTGTTTCGGTTATTTTCAAATTAAAAGAGACTGAGGCATGTTCATGGAGGAATGGAGGAAGGTAGAGACAGTGGGAATATAAAAGGGAGCTGAAATACCAAGGTTGCAAGAGGATGAGGCTGAGAGCAACACCCTGGACAGATGTGGGAAGCAAGGCAGGGTCTGCAGGGAGAGAAGGGTACAGATGTGGATTAGGGTGAAGGTGTGGAGGTCTCTGAGCAGGAACATGAGGTCAGTTCCCACCTGAGAGCCTCCATCTTTGCTTGGAAGCTGGAAGGGAGGTCACTGTGTATGTTAGACAATGACTCTGCTAGCCTCTCTCCAGAGCAGTGAAGGTTGCCCCATCAGGCAGAAGGACCCAGGGAAAAACAGCAATAAAACATTTGCAACCCTGAATGGACGCCGTCCTGCTTCCTATACGACCCGAAGTGTTTAGTGACCCCCTGGCTTTCACTGCTACACCATCACCCTAGATTAATAGGCTCCAGAATAGCCTTATTTAAATTCAAATATCCTTGGCAAGGTTAGCCTGGAACAAGATAAATATGCTTTGCACTTCAGATCTCAAGTAAAGACTTTTCTTTGAGGATAATATTTCTTTTCAAATGACCAGGACCCGGGGAAAAGTTTCTTTTCTCTCACTCTGACATCTAATTAGTTACACATGATCTCTTCTAGTTTCACTCATGGCTGAGACGTTATCTGTGTATTTAGGGTGGGAGTTTCATAACAGGGTCAGGAACTTGCAGGCAGTGGGTGAGGTGGGGAGGAAGCAAATGCTCCCAGTAGGGCTGGGCCTCCATCAATGGGTGGAAAGCTAATGGCTCAGCTCCCAGACAGCCCATGAAGAGAACGAGAGGGTGCTACCTCCACAGCCATGGGGATCTCTTTCACCATGCAATCCTCTCTACTCAGGAATGACTAGGGGAATTGTGTCCTAAGCCACCCGTGCCTCAAGAGTTTCCATTTGGCTGACATTACACAATTCTATTTAAGCATGCTCAGTTTTTTATATCCCAAGTTCCTCCATGAAAGAGGCTAATGTTTACAGACATTTATTTTCCTGTTTTTTGTTTTGTTTTGTTTTGTTTTCTTGAGACAGGGTCTCATGTTGCCCAGGCTGGTATTGAACTCCTGGCCTCAAGCCATCCTCCTGCCCCAGTCTTTTAAAGTGCTGGGATTACAGGCGTGAGCATTTTTCTCAGATATTTAGCATTTTTGCTGCAATTCATACGTGTCAGAGGATCTAATTTTCAATATACAGTAGTGTCATTTCCCTTTGTGTTGGAAAACTTCCTTTAGCATATCTTTAATTTTTTAAATAGACACATAATAATTGTATAATTGTATATATTATAGGGTACAAAGTGATGATTTTACATATATATATAAAATCAAATCACATTGCAGGATAATTAAGTTAATAACATATCGATTACCTCCCATATTTATTTTTGTGGTGCAAACATTTGAAATTTACTCTCCTGGCAATTTTGAAATATATAGTATAGTATAATTAACTATAGCCAACATGTTGTATATTTGATCTCAAACACTTATTCCTTCCGTACAGACTTTTCCTAATTTCATCTACTGATTCTCCAGGTTGGAAAATACCAACTGATTCCTGAAATGCTACTTTTTATTCTAAAGCTTCTTTATCTAGATCCATAAGAGTTTTTCTGTTTTCATCTTGCAATTCCATCATGCATTTGTAGAGTGCATAAATCTACTTTGGGAGCTCTGTTGGTCTTATTCTTCTACACATCTCCAGCACTAGAGCAGGGCCCAGTCATTAGGAGGTGCTCAGTAAGTGTTGGCTAAATAAATCATGAGGACATCTAGCAAGGAAGTTCTTATTAAACCTTTGCTTGTTTGTTTCTCTTTAAGATTCATGGTTTTTTATGTTCTCGGAGCCTTCATTTGAAACTTAAGTTCTCACTATACAGTCAAAAGGTACCGTGTCCCTTTAAAGTAAAAAAATTCTAAATCTCCTTGTTGCCTCTTTCTATAGAAGCAGTATAGAAATCAAAATAAAGGCCTCATTTCATTGAGACTTGTTTAATCAAGATGAGAACAACCTTTGGGAGGATAACGATGGAGATGACAAGTGAAGAACACATCTCTGCTTTATGTTTCTTCCTGTGTGTTCCGTGCAGTGACAGCTAGTAATTTTTAGAACTCCTTTCAAGGATGCTAATAATTCAGCAGTATTGGTACAAAGGACTCAGAGAACCTTCACCAAAGGCAGTACTTCACTAGAACAGCAGCACCATCCCCTGCTGGGGGACCCTACATGGGACGTCATAGTTTATGTTGTGATTCAGTAAATCCATGTGCTTTGAATTTGTACACGGGAAATAATCATACAAATGCAAAGACAAGTGTGTTATGTAAGAATGTTCATCATGGTGTAAGAAAGGGAAAGTGGAAGCATGGAAGCAGCCTAACTGTCCAACATGTGATCAAGTATTTTGAAACAGAATAGAATGCTATTCAGCCATAAAAATGCAGATCTATATTGACTAGGCAAGAAAGACATCCATGGCATATTAGTGTTTCAAAATCACATGCAGAGCAGAATTTTAAATGACTCCCACTACCTTTTGCATAATTTTGTATAATTTTCTCCCCTGAGTGTAGGTGAAATCTATAAACAGAACAGGCTAGTACTCCTGTGACTATGTTGCTTTATGTGTCAAGGAGGATTTTGCAGAAGTAATTAAGTTTACTAATCTGTTGACTTTGAGTTAATTAAAAGGTAGATTATCAGGTGGGTCTGGCCTCATCAGATGAGCCTTTTAAGTCTGGGTCTAGAGATCAGAGACAGAGCAAGTCAGGGATTCAAAGCAGCAGAGACATTCTCCTGCTGGCTTCAAAGAAGATAGAAGCATCTATGAGTTCTACAGCTGCAAGGAACTGAATTCTTTCAAGAACCTCAATGAATTTGGAAGAGGACTCTGAGCATTAGATGGGACAACAGTCCCAGCCAACACTGATCGATTGCAGTTATCTGAGACCCTGAGCAGAGAGACCCAGTCAACCAGTGACCAAACTCCTGACCCACAGGAATTGTCTGATGATAAGTTGTGTTTTTTTAAGCTGTTACGTTGTGGTACTTTGGTACTTTGGTATGCAGCATTAAAAACATGCATACGACACACAAAGAGACATATTACAGAAGGGTTAAGGAAATGTTACAGATGTTCTGAGTAGTTAGAAAATAGATACTTCTTACTTTGGTATTTTTTCTGCAACATTTAAAATACTGCATAATAAACATGTATTAGGTTCCCTCCGAAACACTGAGGACTATTTATTTATTTATGTATTTATTTTACCAAAACCCAGTAGAGCACAGTAGTTCAAAATCTGTCTTGGTTCTGGCTAAGGTCATATCCAGAGGTATAGGAGCCTATGGGGTGGTGAAGAGCTGGACAGAGAACACAGCTGAGACCAACATGGGCTTCAGGGTGCTATGTGTTTGAAGAAAATAAAGTGGTTAATTTAAACAAGGAGTCCTTTACTGACCTTAACTTGGCTAACTAACTGCTTAAACAGTCCACAGGGTCATCTCATTTACAATCTATCTGTCCAGAAATGTTTCAGAGAAAAGGAGTTCTTAAAAGGGAAGAAAGAGATATGGGCTTGTAATTTTGTTTGTGCAGCTTTATTAGGGCTCAGGGGAGAGCACAAATAAGATCAAGAGAAAGCCCTGGAGGAGATGTCTTGGACCAACTTCAACTGTAAACCAAGGGTTTGAATTCTTTCATAGCAAAACTGGCAGGGGGTGAAAGAAAGGCACTGTCTATCTTGCAAATCATTTGTGTATTTGTAGCAGATGGGTGTAGCCCTACCTCTCTGGTTCTGCTAATACATTCCGAATACAGACAACAATATTGTTGACAATAATGACAGGACATCCTGGATTATTAAGCTCTGGCCATTTCAGGGGCAGTGGGGATAGGATGGGGTGGGAGTTGTTGGAAAGAAGTGGGAACAATTTGGTGGACTCTGAGGCTTGTCTAACAAGACATTTCAAAGTGGAAATGAAAGCCTGGACTTAGAAAAAAACTTGTTAGGAAATATAATGAAGGAAGATGACAGAAAGGAATTATTCAGAGGAAAGAGGCATGCTGCAGGAATCTTTGATGGAGCTGCGAGCATGACACTATTTCAGAATACAGCTATTCATTGTTTGAGCCTGTTGGAGTGCTGAAACCAGCAAGGGGCATTTGGATGTTAACTGGCGTCATGTCAAAGGCCAGCAGTCCAGTCAGGTGGAGACTAGGCCAGGGCCCCTGTCCTCTCTGAGGCTCAGCTGCTTCAGATCCCTCTGGCTGGGAGCCACCTGGGGAAGCCCTGGGTAGCCAGTCATGAATGGCCTCATTTGCATAGCAATGCTATATGGGAGATAAATGGAGGGCGCCATGGGCATCCCAGCTCAGTAAAGGATGCTGTTGTAGGAATCAACTGACCGCCAAGAAAAAAGAAGAAATGAATGTGTTTATTCTTACTTGTCCTGTGAAGGCAAGGGGTTTTGCAAGTCTCACTGAGAAGTCACGTGTAAATACAGTCTGATATAGCACAAGAGACCTCAATGGAGGGGGTTGCAGATGGCGGGGTGCACTTGGACAGGTGCTGTAGCTTCCACCATTAAACTATGAGGTGTATGTGTAGTAGGAGTGATAGTCAAAACCATTAATAAGTGCTCAGACACAGGCATGAACCAAATGGATGTTGCAACCCATCGGAAAGGACATCAACGCTAAATGCAGTTCTACCAGGGCATCCTGGCTAGATACCAGTCCAGATGTCCTCACTCACATACACACTACAGGAGTACTGAACAAATTTCCATCCACAAAGTCTTTAGGGAGTGAGTCCTTCCTTAGTCCTGAGAGTACAGCCTTTCCACTCTCTTCTTAAGCTTCCAAGAACAGATTTCTTGGATATTTATCAAGAGAATTGTAAAGCAGCTTTGTTAATAGCAATTTTTAGAAAATTAGGGGCTGATTATCCAGCTTTCTTTTTTTCTTCTCCTTTCATTTTTCCCCATGGTGTGATTACGTGTTTTATTATTTTTTTTTTAGTGTAGTACCTCCAAATGGAACAGGCAGGGAATGAAACCAAATTTGGCAAAAATAAAACACAAGTTATAAAACAAAACAAAACGAAAACAACAAAAATTAAAATTAAAAATTTTCAGAAAGTAGATGCCACCCCATCACACAGACCACGTTTGCCATCATTAGTTAGCAGAAAGCCCTTTCTGAGCACTTCTGGGTTCCCTTTGCTGGGTTCATTTTGAAAATGAAGCCCTACCCCCTTTTACCACTCTGGCATAGCAAGCTAGGAATTAATATCCTGACTGAACATGAAGAAAATATTGAATTTTGAGAGCATTTGTTTGTAAAAGTCTAATGTATAAAAAAGTTTATATAATAAATTCTGGACAAGTGTCTCCATAATTATTGAAAAGGGTTAAAAGAATTCCAACCAATAGACCCAGTAGGTACCAAAGTTACTGTTTTGCATTATAAACTATTTATGAATATGATATTCTACAGCTGATGGCTCTTATTTTTGTAACGTGTTCCTAGAGGTATTATTAATTACCAAAAGGAATTACATTACATTCAGTATAGCCTAGGCGGTGCATACTTTATTAGTTTCTAATTACTTTAAAACTAGTAACCTTCTAACGGTATATATGATGACTCTTGTAGGCAAAAATTATGATTAACCAGAACATGATTCCATTGCCATATGGAGTGTTTTCTATGTGGTTTATTAAATGATTCCCACTTTTTTTCCCTTTCTGCCTAATTTCCCAAGAAGTTATTACAATGACCTCTGACATTTTACCCCCAAACTCCCCTTGGTTTACTCTCAAGTGAGACTTGAGTGGAATGAGGGCTTCAGGCGCTCTTTGGAGACATTCCAGCAGCAGGAATGGATGGGTACCTGAGAGGAACGGGAGGAGAGTGTAGGGCAGTGATTTCCAACCTTCAAAGAGCAATGCCCCCTTCTTGTTTTTAAGCAAATATTTTTTACATTCCTTCATTAGGCTGAAACTAAATCCATAGATGGCTTTCTACATACATAATTTTCTAAAAGATCAATATCATGCCCCGTAATGTATGGGAGAAATGGAGAAATAAAAGGATATACATACAATAATATGTGTTTCAGCAGATATATGTCAGGAAGACTCTACTAGATGCCAAAAATATTCTTACAAAATGTAAAGCACCTTAGCAGTGTGGTAGGAAGCACTTGTGTAGTGGTTAAGAGTGGGCTCTGGGAAACACCTCCAGAGTGGCAGAGTAAGGACTACTGGAAATCTGCTCCTCCATAGAGCAATGAGAACACTTGCAAATATGATCACAGCTGACCTTTCCAGAACTCTGGAAGTGAAGCAAACAACAATCTGAGGGGCATTTATTCAAGGAAAAAAACAAACAAACATAAATCTCAGTAAGAAGAGTGACTTTGTGGAGTTTTAATTTGCCTTATTCTCACCCCACCTCCACAGTAGTCTTAAAAACCAGTAGCCTCAGTAGCTTTGCAAACTTGCAGCCTAGAAACCAATGAAGGAGAGAAAATGAGTTTTGAACACTCCGAAAGCTCTTTCTCTCCAAATTGCCACTGCTTAACTTGCCTGGCAGCTCTCTGAAAAGCTCCATTCTCAGGGCTTGTTTTTATTTGATCTGATTCACAGCTCATTCTGAATCAGCCCTATTCATATAATGTATAAAAATAAAATAGAAGCAAATGTTTAACATCATAATGCCTGAAGGGGCAATACCACTTGAGACTAAAAAAGGGCTATCCAAAACACTTTGAAAGAAAAAACAGGGAATAAGATGTCCATAGGAGGCTTTGAAAAACTCTGACATAGATAGCCACAAACATGTGCAGGGCTGTGAGCATGCCCAAAAGAAAAGCCCCAGGAAGGTCCTCATCTCTCATCTCTGGTTGATCTTGAGGCTCTGTCCACACAGGAAGTGAAGGCTAATGAAGAATTTTAAACTGCCTGCGGGTTAATTAAAGACTTTCCCCAACACACACACAACGCTACTTGGCTAAAGCTGGGGAGCTTTTGGCCCAAGGTATTTAAGGAAATCTCTGTCCAATTGTTATATGACCACTAAGCTAACTCAGCTCACTTCAGTGGCCATACATGACAAGAAAAACAGACTTCATAGAATTAGTCCAAGAAGGTCACTAAATAAACGAGCAGCAGCAGCAAAAACAACAACAACAGCAAACATCAACAATAGGTGCTAGAGAACAGGAAATCTGATTTTAAGAATTGCCACATTATATTATTTTAAATGTTCAGTTTTCAACAAAAATTATAAGACACAGAAAGGATCAGAAAAGTATAGCCCATACACAGGAAGCAGCCAAGAGAAATTGGTATTAAGAAAGCTAAGACATTGGACTTACAAGACAAAGATCTTAAATTAGCCATTATAAATATGTTCAAAGAACTGAAGGGAAACCATGAGAATTATATCTCATCAAATAGAGAATACGAATGAAAAGATAGAAATTATGAAAAGGAACCAAATAGAAATTCTGGAACTGAAAAGTACAATAACCAAAATGAAAAATTCACTAGTTTCAACAGTAGAGTTAAGCAGGCAGAAAGAAGAATCAATGAACTTGAAGGTAGGCCAATTGAAATTATCCAATTTGAATAACAGAAGCAAAAAACTAAAACAAAATCAAAGCCCCAGAAACAGGTGAGATGTTACTTATGCAGTTGATGAAGTATATTAACATTTTCCTAATGGGAGTCCCAGAAGAAGAGGAAAGAGAGCAAGTAGCAGAAAGAATATTTGAAGAAACGATAGCCAAAAATTTCCCAAATTCAATGAAAGATATTATTATGTACATTGAAAAAGTTCAAAAACTCCAAGTAGGATAAACTTAAGATATCTACACTTAGACACATCATATTCAAACTGTCAAAAGCTGAAGACAAATAGAGAATCTCTTTTTTACTTTTTTTCTTTTTCAAATCTCAGACCTGAGTGAAACAAAGAATCTTTAAGACAACATTAAAAAAATAATTTACCATGTACAAGAGATAATCAATAAGATGATTTTAGTTTTCTCTCTTATTCGCTCTCTTATTTTTCTCTCTTCTCCATTTCTATTTATACTTCATACATACATAAAAAGTTAACTCAAAATGAATCCCAGACCTAGATGTAAGATCTATGATTGTAAAACACTTAGAACAAAACAGAGGAGCAAATCTTTGTGACCTTGGATCAAGTTATGGTTTCTTAGATATGACACCAAATGTATAAGCATCCAAAGAAATAATTAAAAAGTTGGATTTTATAAAAATTAATTTCTTTAGTGCTTCAAAGAACACCATTAAGAAAGTGAAAAGAGAGCCCATGGATGGTAGAAAATATTTACAAATCACATATATGATAGAGAGCTTATATGCAGAACATATAAAGAATAGTTACAATTCAACAATACAAAAGTAGGTCAATTTTAAAATGGGACAAAAATATGAATAACCATTTTGCCAAAGAAGATATACACAGGGCCAAGAAAAACACAAAAAGATGTTCAACGTCATTGGTCATTAGAGAAATGAAAATTAATCCCACCATGAAATACCACTTCACACCCATTAGGATGGCTACAATAATAATTAAAAAAAAAAAAAAAACAGAAAATAAAAGTTATTTGCAAGAATATGAAGTTGGAACTTTTGTGTATTGCTAGTGGGAATACAGAATGGAGTAGCTGCTTTGGAAAACAGTTTGGCACTTCATCAAAAGAAATTAAACATAGAGTTACCATACAACCCAGAAATTCCACTCTAAATATATGCCCATGAGAAATAAAAAACATATGTTCACATAAAAACTTTTACCTGAATGTTCATTACAACATTATTCATGAAAGCCAAAAATGGAAACAACCCAAATGTACAACTGATGAATGGATAAATAAAACCTGGTTTATCCACACAATGAAATATCATTCATCAATGAAAGGGAATGAGGTACTGATACATGCTACAACACGGACGAACCTTGAACACGTTACGCTAAGTGAAGGAAGCCAGACACAAAAGGTCACATATTACATGACTCCACTTATAGGAAATGATCAGAACTGGCAAATCCATAGAGAGAGAAAGTAGATTCGAGGTTGCCAGAGTTGGAGAAATGGGGAGTGACTGCTAATAGGTATGGCAGAGGGGAGAGAAAATGTTCTGGAATCTGATGATAATGATGGTTATACAAGACCACAAATATACTAAAAATGGCCTAGTGCCGTGGCTCATGCCTGTAATCCCAGCACTCTGGGAGGCTGAGGCAGGAGAATCTCTTGAGGCCAGGAGTTCAAGAGCAGCCTGGGCAACATAGTGAGATCTTGTCTCTACAAAAAAAAAAAATTAAAAATTAGCCAGGTGTGGTGGGTGTGCCTGTAGTCCCAGCTACTAGGGAAGCTGAGATGGGAAGATTGCTTGAGCCTGGGAGGTCAAGGCTGCAGTGAGTCATGATCTTGCCATTGCAATCCAGCTTGGGTGAGAGACAACCTGTCTCAAAATAATAATAATAATACATAAATAAAAATATACTAAAAATTATTGAATTGTGTACTTTACTTTAAAGGAGTGAATTTTGTAAATTTTGTAGCATGTGATATATATATATATATATATATATTTCTTTTTTTTTTTTAGAGGCAGTCTTGCTCTGTCGCCCAGGCTGAAGTGCAGTGGCACGATCTCGGCTCACTGAAAGCTCCACCTCCCAGGTTCATGCCATTCTCCTGCCTCAGCCTCCAGAGTAGCTGGGACTACAGGCACCTGCCACAGTTAGCCTGCAATGTGGGACTACAGGCACCTGCCACAGTTAGCCTGCAATGCCTGGCTAATTTTTCTGTATTTTTAGTAGAGACGGGATTTTTACTGTGTTAGCCAGGATGGTCTTGATCTCCTGACCTTGTGATCCACCTGCCTCAGCCTCCTAAATTGCTGGGATTACAGGTGTGAGCCACCTCACCAGGCCGTGAAGCATATTTTAATAAGGATGTTAATTATTTTTATTTATTTATTTTTGAGACCAAGTCTCACTCTGTCACCCAGGCTAGAGGAATACAGTGGCATGATCTTGGCTTACTGCAACCTCTGTCTCCCAGGTTCAAGTGATTCTCCTGCCTCAGCCTCCCAAGTAGCGGGGATTACAGGCATGCACCACCACGCCCAGCTAATTTTTTTGTATTTTTAGTAGAGACAGGTTATCACCGTGTTGGTCAGGCTGTTCTCAAACTCCTGATCTCAAGTGATCCTCCTGCATCGGCCTCCCAAAGTGCTGGGATTATAGGTGTGAGCCACCACGCCCAGTCAATAAGGATGTCATTTTAAAAAGAGTGGGCTCTGGGGTCAGCCCCCTTGGGTTTGTAATTCAGGTTCTGCCACTTATTGGCTGGGACCTTGGTTAAGTTACCGTGCCACTAACAGTAATTACCTTAACATGCTGTTAAGAGGTAGAAGTAAATTAATACATGTCAGCACTTAAATCAGGGCATTGCAAAAAAAAGTATTTTTGTGAACATGAGCTACTCTTATTCTTTGAAGGTGGCAAATAATGTTTTTTCCAACACTATTGTGTGCCTTCAGTGTATATTCTCAGTCCTCTAATGCTAAGGCTCATGGTCTAACTCCAGGTGATTTTCCTAAAACCAACTTGGCCAGAAATATGGTTAACAAGAAAATGTTTGAAAATAAGCATCTCTGATAACTGTCCAGAATTGGCAACTGCAATGCATCATGGGATATTTTTACAAACCCTTAAGCATCTTTAAGCAATTTGGTCTACATTCTGAATTTTTCTTCTCTACTATTTTACTTGGAATTCGTTTTTAGATCATTCTGCTTTGCAGACAGTGATTAAAATTGAAGATAATTTTACAATATAAAAGTCCAACTAGATGAGTCATACACAGCATCTAAAATAATGTATAGAAGTGACAATAATTAGGGGGAGGAGCCAAGATGGCCGAATAGGAACAGCTCCAGTCTACAGCTCCCAGCGTGAGTGACACAGAAGACGGGTGATTTCTGCATTTCCATCTGAGGTACCGGGTTCATCTCACTAGGGAGTGCCAGACAGTGGGCGCAGGTTAGTGGGTGCGCGCACCATGCGCGAGCCAAAGCAGGGTGAGGCATTGCCTCACTCGGGAAGCGCAAGGGGTCAGGGAGTTCCCTTCCCGAGTCAAAGAAAGGGGTGACAGACAGCACCTGGAAAATCGGGTCACTCCCACCCAAATACTGCGCTTTTCTGACGGGCTTAAAAAACGGCACACCAGGAGATTATATCCCGCACCTGGCTCGGAGGGTCCTATGCCCACGGAGTCTCGCTGATTGCTAGCACAGCAGTCTGAGATCAAACAGCAAAGCAGCAGCAAGGCTGGCGGAGGGGCGCCCGCCATTGCCCAGGTTTGCTTAGGTAAACAAAGCGGCCAGGAAGCTCGAACTGGGTGGAGCCCACCACAGCTCAAGGAGGCCTGCCTGCCTCTGTAGGCTCCACCTCTGGGGGCAGGGCACAGACAAACAAAAAGACAGCAGTAACCTCTGCAGACTTAAATGTCCCTGTCTGACAGCTTTGAAGAGAGCAGTGGTTCTCCCAGCACACAGCTGGAGATCTGAGAAGGGGCAGACTGCCTCCTCAAGTGGGTCCCTGACCCCTGACCCCCAAGCAGCCTAACTGGGAGGCACCCCCCAGCAGGGGCACACTGACACCTCACACGGCCGGGTACTCCAACAGATCTGCAGCTGAGGGTCCTGTCTGTTAGAAGGAAAACTGACAAACAGAAAGGACATCCACACCAAAAACCCATCTGTACATCACCATCATCAAAGACCAAAAGTAGATAAAACCACAAAGATGGGGAAAAAACAGAGCAGAAAAACTGGAAACTCTAAAAAGCAGAGCGCCTCTCCTCCTCCAAAGGAATGCAGTTCCTCACCAGCAAAGGAACAAAGCTGGATGGAGAATAACTTTGACGAGCTGAGAGAAGAAGGCTTCAGACAATCAAATTGCTCCGAGCTACGGGAGGACATTCAAACCAAAGGCAAAGAAGTTGAAAACTTTGAAAAAAATTTAGAAGAATGTATAACTAGAATAACCAATACAGAGAAGTGCTTAAAGGAGCTGATGGAGCTGAAAAGCAAGGCTCGAGAACTAAGTGAAGAATGCAGAAGCCTCAGGAGCCGATGCGATCAACTGGAAGAAAGGGTATCAGCGATGGAAGATGAAATGAATGAAATGAAGTGAGAAGGGAAGTTTAGAGAAAAAAGAATAAAAAGAAACCAGAAAAGCCTCCAAGAAATATGGGACTATGTGAAAAGACCAAATCTACGTCTGATTGGTGTACCTGAAAGTGACGGGGAGAATGGAACCAAGTTGGAAAACACTCTGCAGGATACTATCCAGGAGAATTTCCCCAATCTAGCAAGGCAGGCCAACGTTCAGATTCAGGAAATACAGAGAACACCACAAAGATACTCCTCGAGACGAGCAACTCCAAGACACATAATTGTCAGATTCACCAAAGTTGAAATGAAGGAAAAAATGTTAAGGGCAGCCAGAGAGAAAGGTCGGGTTACCCTCAAAGGGAAGCCCATCAGACTAACAGCGGATCTCTCGGCAGAAACTCTACAAGCCAGAAGAGAGTGGGGGCCAATATTCAACATTCTTAAAGAAAGAATTTTCAACCCCGAATTTCATATCCAGCCAAACTAAGCTTCATAAGTGAAGGAGAAATAAAATACTTTACAGACAAGCAAATGCTGAGAGATTTTGTCACCACCAGGCCTGCCCTAAAAGAGCTCCTGAAGGAAGCGCTAAACATGGAAAGGAACAACCGGTACCAGCCGCTGCAAAATCATGCCAAAATGTAAAGACCATCGAGACTAGGAAGAAACTGCATCAACTAACGAGCAAAATAACCAGCTAACATCATAATGACAGGATCAAATTCACACATGACAATATTAACTTTAAAGGTAAATGGACTAAATGCTCCAATTAAAAGACACAGACTGGCAAATTGGATAAAGAGTCAAGACCCTTCAGTGTGCTGTATTCAGGAAACCCATCTCACGTGCAGAGACACACATAGGCTCAAAATAAAAGGATGGAGGAAGATCTACCAAGCAAATGGAAAACAAAAAAAGGCAGGGGTTGCAATCCTAGTCTCTGATAAAACAGACTTTAAACCAACAAAGATCAAAAGAGACAAAGAAGGCCATTACATAATGGTAAAGGGATCAATTCAACAAGAAGAGCTAACTATCCTAAATATATATGCACCCAATACAGGAGCACCCAGATTCATAAAGCAAGTCCTGAGTGACCTACAAAGAGACTTAGACTCCCACACATTAATAATGGGAGACTTTAACACCCCACTGTCAACATTAGACAGATCAACGAGACAGAAAGTCAACAAGGATACCCAGGAATTGAACTCAGCTCTGCACCAAGCGGACCTAATAGACATCTACAGAACTCTCCACCCCAAATCAACAGAATATACATTTTTTTCAGCACCACACCACACCTATTCCAAAATTGACCACATACTTGGAAGAAAAGCCCTCCTCAGCAAATGTAAAAGAACAGAAATTATAACAAACTATGTCTCAGACCACAGTGCAATCAAACTAGAACTCAGGATTAAGAATCTCACTCAAAACCGCTCAACTACGTGGAAACTGAACAACCTGCTCCTGAATGACTACTGGGTACATAACGAAATGAAGGCAGAAATAAAGATGTTCTTTGAAACCAACAAGAACAAAGACACAACATACCAGAATCTCAGGGACGCATTCAAAGCAGTGTGTAGAGGGAAATTTATAGCACTAAATGCCCACAAGAGAAAGCAGGAAAGATCCAAAATTGACACCCTAACATCACAATTAAAAGAACTAGAAAAGCAAGAGCAAACACATTCAAAAGCTAGCAGAAGGCAATAAATAACTAAAATCAGAGCAGAACTGAAGGAAATAGAGACACAAAAAACCCTTCAAAAAATTAATGAATCCAGGAGCTGGTTTTTTGAAAGGATCAACAAAATTGATAGACCGCTAGCAAGACTAATAAAGAAAAAAAGAGAGAAGAATCAAATAGACGCAATAAAAAATGATAAAGGGGATATCACCACCGATCCCACAGAAATACAAACTACCATCAGAGAATACTACAAACACCTCTATGCAAATAAACTAGAAAATCTAGAAGAAATGGATAAATTCCTCGACACATACACTCTCCCAAGACTAAACCAGGAAGAAGTTGAATCTCTGAATAGACCAATAACAGGATCTGAAATTGTGGCAATAATCAATAGCTTACCAACCAAAAAGAGTCCAGGACCAGATGGATTCACAGCCGAATTCTACCAGAGGTACAAGGAGGAACTGGTACCATTCTTTCTGAAACTATTCCAATCAATAGAAAAAGAGGGAATCCTCCCTAACTCATTTTATGAGGCCAGCATCATCCTGATACCAAAGCCGGGTAGAGACACAACAAAAAAAGAGAATTTTAGACCAATATCCTTGATGAACATTGATGCAAAAATCCTCAATAAAATACTGGCAAACCAAATCCAGCAGCACATCAAAAAGCTTATCCACCATGATCAAGTGGGCTTCATCCCTGGGATGCAAGGCTGGTTCAATATACGGAAATCAATAAATGTAATCCAGCATATAAACAGAGCCAAAGACAAAAACCACATGATTATCTCAATAGATGCAGAAAAGGCCTTTGACAAAATTCAACAACCCTTCATGCTAAAAACTCTCAATAAATTAGGTATTGATGGGACGTATCTCAAAATAATAAGAGCTATCTATGACAAACCCACAGCCAATATCATACTGAATGGGCCAAAACTGGAAGCATTCCCTTTGAAAACTGGCACAGACAGGGATGCCCTCTCTCACCACTCCTATTCAACATAGTGTTGGAAGTTCTGGCCAGGGCAATTAGGCAGGAGAAGGAAATAAAGGGTATTCAATTAGGAAAAGAGGAAGTCAAATTGTCCCTGTTTGCAGACGACATGATTGTATATCTAGAAAACCCCACTGTCTCAGCCCAAAAGCTCCTTAAGCTGATAAGCAACTTCAGCAAAGTCTCAGGATACAAAATCAATGTACAAAAATCACAAACATTCTTATACACCAACAACAGACAGAGAGCCAAATCATGAGTGAACTCCTATTCACAATTGCTAAAAAGAGAATAAAATACCTAGGAATCCAACTTACAAGGGATGTGAAGGACCTCTTCAGGGAGAACTACAAACCACTGCTCAAGGAAATAAAAGAGGATACAAACAAATGGAAGAACATTCCATGCGCATGGGTAGCAAGAATCAATATCGTGAAAATGGCCATACTGCCCAAGGTAATTTACAGATTCAATGCCATCCCCATCAAGCTACCAGTGACTTTCTTCACAGAATTGGAAAAAACTACCTGAAAGTTCATATGGAACCAAAAGAGAGCCTGCATCGCCAAGTCAATCCTAAGCCAAAAGAACAAAGCTGGAGGCATCACACTACCTGACTTCAAACTATACTACAAGGCTACAGTAACCAAAACAGGATGGTACTGGTACCAAAACAGAGATATAGATCAATGGAACAAAACAGAGCTCTCAGAAATAACGCCGCATATCTACAACTATCTGATCTTTGACAAACCTGAGAAAAACAAGCAATGGGGAAAGGATTCCCTATTTAATAAATGGTGCTGGGAAAACTGGCTAGCCATATGTAGAAAGCTGAAACTGGATCCCTTCCTTACAGCTTATACAAAAATCAATTCAAGATGGATTAAAGACTTAAACATTAGACCTAAAACCATAAAAACCCTAGAAGAAAACCTAGGCAATACCATTCAGGACATAGGCATGGGGAAGGACTTCATGTCTAAAACACCAAAAGCAATGGCAACAAAAGCCAAAATTGACAAATGGGATCTAATGAAACTCAAGAGCTTCTGCACAGCAAAAGAAACTACCATCAGAGTGAACAGGCAACCTACAAAATGGGAGAAAATTTTCGCAACCTACTCATCTGACAAAGGGCTAATATCCAGAATCTACAATGAACTCAAACAAATTTACAAGAAAAAAACAAACAACCCCATCGAAAAGTGGGCAAAGGACATGAACAGGCACTTCTCAAAAGAAGACATTTATGCAGCCAAAAAACACATGAAAAAATGCTCACCATCACTGGCCATCAGAGAAATGCAAAACAAAACCACAATGAGATACCATCTCACACCAGTTAGAATGGCAATCATTAAAAAGTCAGGAAACAACAGGTGCTGGAGAGGATGTGGAGAAATAGGAACACTTTTACACTATTGGTGGCACTGTAAACTAGTTCAACCATTGTGGAAGTCAGTGTGGCGATTCCTCAGGGATCTAGAACCAGAAATACCATTTGACCCAGCCATCCCATTACTTGGTATATACCCAAAGGACTATAAATCATGCTGCTATAAAGACACATGCACACATATGTTTATTGCGGCACTATTCACAATAGCAAAGACTTGGAACCAACCCAAATGTCCACAAATGATAGACTGGATTAAGAATATGTGGCACATATACACCATGGAATACTATGCAGCCATAAAAAATGATGAGTTCATGTCCTTTGTAGGGACATGGATGAAATTGGAAATCATCATTCTCAGTAAACTATCACAAGAACAAAAAACCAAACACCGCATATTCTCACTCATAGGTGGGAATTGAACAATGAGAACATATGGACACAGGAAGGGGAACATAACACTCTGCGGCCTGTTGTGGGGTGGGGGGAGGGGGGAGGGATAGCACTGGGAGATATACCTAATGCTGGATGACGAGTTAGTGGGTGCAGCGCACCAGCATGGCACATGTATACATATGTTACTAACCTGCACGTTGTGCACATGTACCCTAAAACTTAAAGTATAATAATAAAAATAAATAAAAATAAAAATAAAATAATGTATAGAAGAACAATCTCAATTTCAAAAATGCACCTACAATGTGTGAAACACCATATGAGTACTGAGGACATAATGAGAATTAGGATTATACACTGATTAGGGCAGTGTCCCAGGTGTGAAAGCTGGTTAATTTCTGCTCTAAAATGTGCTTTGAAAAAGGTTTGTTTATAGATTAAGACCACCCATTGCAGCATGGAGTTTTTATGCATTAAAAATTTTTTCCAAGCAATTCTGTTTATTCAGTGCTTGCTCTATGCCCTGCACACTGTTACATGCTGACAAAACAACAAAAATAAAATAGATCAGACACTGCTCCCCCTGTGGGTGGGTGCATTCCGGTGGGGAAAAGCTGAGAGGAGGACACCAACCCTCACCCAGAATCATCCTATCAGACCACACTCTCTCCAGCAAAAGAACACAGGGAGGCTTCTTCATTTAGAAGGAGCGAAGCCTTTCATTGAAAAATCTTTCTTGATCCTAGTAAGTGCCAACGTCTCTGTCTTTTAAAATTGTTTCCATTTTGACTGTGACCTTTGTATAATGAGGTGATCAAGCTGAGCTCTTCCAAGGTGAGGCCAAACCATTGCTGTCCCCCTGCCCCTCTGAGTAGCCCTGACTCCCTCCTCACTGAGCCCTCGTATTCTATTTGCTGTTTGGACTGCAGCTAAACATTGAGCAAGCGTCTTCATTAAACTGTCCAGTGATTCATAGCTGCCTTCCCCCCAGAGGTTACACATAATTCAGAACTCATCAGCACGCTGGGGACAGGCGGCCGAAATTGCTCCTTCTGGGATCTGCTACTTTGCATTTGCCCACTTGGGGTTTCATTTGCTACCCTGGGATCTAATTACTCTGCCCTGCTCTGCCCTTCTGAGGTTCCTGAGTCCCCAGCCCTCTCCTGAACAGCTAAGGAGCTCAGACCATGGCCTCTGTTGGCGTCAACAGTGGGGCCGCTCTGTGCAAAACTGTAGCCCCCCTGAGGTGAGGCTCCCTCTTGGAAGGAAACATCCTTCATGCAGGGGACCTACGGTGGCAAACCAGGAAGCAGTCTGTCCTTGATGGTCTGCAGTAGTAAGGCGAGAAGGGTCACAGCAAGAGACAGAGCCAAACTTGTCACTCCTGGCTCTGGAGTGTGGCGAGCAGAATACACCTCTCACACCCTCTTGTACTTTTCCTCTGAGCCTCCCTGCTGGCTGATTTCTGGTTTCGGCAGGCTGGGATTTGGCTGAGTCATGGAGAAGAGGACACCCTGAGTCACTGAGACCTAACTGGACAAACTGATTCATCACAAACTGTGGACCATTGGGACCTGAGTGTTGAAGAAGAAATAGATGGTGGAGGATGAGAGATTGTTCTCAGGTCTCCTTTACTTGGAGAGGAGAGGGGCCCCAGCCACAAACCAACCAGGAGCGGGGAAGACAGGTTGAGGTGGGTGTGTTTGACCAGAGCCTGTGGAGGGAGGTAAGTATGAGGCCAATAGCTCCTGAGATCCTTGCTAGGAAATCCATCAGGCCATGTGTCGCCAGTCTACACCGCACTGACCTCACAGAGGTCAGCTGATGCCCAGCAAATCATTCCCACCCCCACCTCAGCCCCTGTTTAGCCTCCACCCTCACCCTCACCCTCACCCTTCCTCACCAGCCCTATGCTCAGGCAGCCCCTGCTTCTTACCAGTGACCAATAATAATTAAATCAGCATCAGGCCTACCTCTATGGTAAGCACTCTACCTGGATGACCTGATTTAATCATTATAGTCACTCCATCGGGAAATGGTAACTACTAAGATTACTTTCATTCTACTGATGAAGAAAATGAAGCTCAGAGAGGTGAAGTCATTTTCTCAAAGCCACACAGCAAGTAGCTGCCCAAGCCAGAGCTTGACATAGGAGTGTGGCTGTGGTGATCATGCACTGGCTGATCTGTCTGGGGACAGCCCGCACTAACCTCCTCAATCCAGGAGAGTCTTAGCCATACTCTTGTTTTCCTGGACCACCTATAACTTCTAAGGTGCATGGGTGTTTGCACTGGTGAGGCCAAGTGTCTGCTTTTTCTTTAAAAATACCCCAAAGTAACAGAAATAGCACAGTCATCTTAGGACACTGGGCATCCCTCTTTTTCTGACCGCTTTGATGTACTTGGGTTGATGGAAACATATTGCCTCTAAGAAATTCCAGCTGTGTGACTAATAATGAAGGCAATAATAGCAGCTAACGTTCATTAGGCACCTGTTATGCTCGGCTCTGTGATGAGTGAAGCAGGGAATATTGTTCTCTCCACTTTAGAGGAGAAAAGAGGCACAGAGAGGTTGTGCCTTGCCCAAAGTCACACAGCTTGGGCAGTAGCAGAGCCAAGTCTTGGCCTCAGATCCCACTGAGCCCTTTAATCCCTGTGCTTCATGGTCTGGGCACGTCCTGAGTTGTGCTGGTCTCAGCCCCGCAGTCAGTCAGAGCATCTGATCAGGCATCATGCGTTGAAAACCTACTACAAGCCAGGCAAAGGAAGGGAAGAGGAGTCTCGGGCAGTGGTCTGCAGTGGAGGGTGGGTGAGGGTCCCAGGCCAGGAAGAACAGTCTCAGGGTGATGGGATATTTGAGTAAGGCACCAAAGGAACAAATGGTGTCAGGAAAAGGGGAAGTAATTTGGAGCAGGGACCTGAATGAGGACAGGGTTACCAAGGGCAAGATCTACCTTCGCTATTTTGTATTAACTCTGTTTAGGGCCTGTGGGGTTATTTGTAGGAGTGCCTCATAGGGACTTATTTGATGATGGGAGGTACCTGAATCAAGGAGCTGGGAAAGATAACTTTGAACTGCACTTAGCTACAAAGGCTGTGTGTGTGTGTCTGTGTGTCTGTCTGTGTGTGTGTGTGTGTGTCTGTGTGTTTTTAAGGAAGAGATATGGAGAATGCCAAATAACTATCTTTTTGTCATTTTTAACAATTGCAATGAGTTTTTGGGGTGACTATTTTGGTCTGTTTTGTCATCCCATATACATGCAGGGCTGCTATATTATAATTCTGCAGGCTTAAAGTGTTCTTTAAATTTCTGTTCAATTTACAGAGACAAGGTTTTGTCTTACACGTGCCCTCCAGCTTACTATGGCTCAGCTCATTCCCTTCCAATGAACCGAACTATTTTTAATTCATGGTAGCACTTTGCTACTCATTCAGCAATTTCATTTCAACATTCTCCAATGAATGTGTGCCCCTACTGGTGAGTTAATACTGCTGCTACAACTGTGATCCATTCCTGTAACATGAAGTTCAGGCACTTCTAACTTTTAGTTTTGCTTAAAATGAACTTGTAACTTCCTACCATCCCCATTTGGATGCTTGTATAACAGAAAGTGTTTTAGCTTTATTATTTGTGCATGAGACTCATTTTTGGCTTAGAAGTTCTACCTAGCTCAATGCCTGACCACAGAGGAACTTATGCCCCAATTTCCTCCCACACAGACCTTGATAAAAATTCTTCCTACTTAAACTCTTAGGATTTTTTTCGTTTCTTCTTAGTGTATTGATTTGGACTTAGGGGGTCTCAAGGAAAAATGGAATTTCCCTGGGATCTTAAGTTCCCTCTAGCCAGCTTGTAACAAAGCTGTTCAGGGCAGTGAGAGAACCCCACAGCTGGTTTTGGGGAACAATTTCAGCTTTACTCCCATTTCTATATCTCAATGAAAGGTGACAATATAATCAAGGAGAATCTCATCTTTACATTCGAAAAGAAAACCTATACTGCTGAAGTCATTTAAAAGGTTGTGGTTAATGGTCAGAAGCATTTGGGTTTATTCCCAGCTCAACAGATGTATGACCGTGAGCAAGCCTTTTTGGGCCTCAGTTTCCTCATTTGTAAATGGCGATATTAATAACATCCACCTGATACAACTAAAAAGAACTGGATAAGATCATGCATACACCAAGACCGATGCATAGTAAATACTAAATAAATGTTAGCTCTATTAGTCCCAGGGCACTGACCCAGAGAACGCTTGGCTCCAATACTTCTGCTATTAACTGTAATATTAATATATCAAGGTAGAGAGGAACTAGTATAGGCATATGCAGCAGCTAAAACTATGACCTTTTTTTGGTGGTTGCTATTATAAGGAATGATTGATTTTTATCACTAGGAACCCAAACTGTCTCTTCAGTAACATTTCTAATCATTTGCTAGAACATTCTTTGACAATCAGAGTTTTCTGCCTGTGCTGTTGAATGGTCCTCAAAATAGAACAGAAACATCAGATTGAGTCTATCTTGTGGTAAATGTGTAACATTACTATAATGTGACATCAGCCAATGCCATTGTCAATCAAACTCACCACACTGAATCCTTGGTGAGTTTGGAATTCACGTTCCCATCTTCTTCCAGGAAGATGTCCATTTGCAAATTGGCATCATTATCATGGGCAGAGAAATAATTGGTAACAATTCTTGCTGGTATTCCAAGGCATCGTAAAACTACAGGAAAGGACAGACCACAGCTAAACACATCACCAGCATTTAATAAACACAGAGTGAAAAAACCCTTCTTGTAGGGGACTTTCTTCCTGACCCAACATGAAAAGCCCTTTGGACATGTTATTCTCAAATGTTCCATGCTGGAAAAGGGTGGTCATTCAACCCCATGGGGGCGGTAGAGAGAAATCTTGCTGTGTGATCCTTCAGAATTGCAGCTGGTGTCAGGTGAAGCCAACTAGAGTAGAATCCCAACAGGGTTCTAATTGTTTCGTTTCTAAGCGTTTGATCATCAACGTAGTATTATTTTAGTCCCATGAATGGGACTATGTTCCCGAAAATACAATTTTAAAAACCCACTAATAGGAAGTTAGGAATTTACAGAGTAGGTCCTTGGTGGAATTTGCTGTCTTGGCCAGAATTTGCTCCTGTGACATGCATTGGTGGGTGACACCACAGATTCATTTTAGTTCATTTTAATAGATAACAAATTATCTGAATACCTTTCTTGCCATATGTACCTACTGATTAAACTTAATCCAAATGCCCTCCCTGCCTCCCAGGACACCAGACATCAGGGCTCATTGAAAATAATTCAGCTGACAATTTTAAGATTAATGACTTGGCTTGCCTTTTTATTTTCTCCTTCAGAATAGTTTAGCATTTTTAACCAAAGACTACCCACCTCCTTCAACAGAACAACCTTGGAAGTCCAAACTGGAGTCTGGTAGAGATTCAAGGGTCCCCCTCCTTAAAGGACTTGATCTTAATGCCCCAAACAACAGTGGCAGCTGCCACGGGCCTCCCGTTCCCATTTTCCTTTCTTGATTTTCAGCCCTGTTCACCCAGGGTCTTATCAATAAAACGATTGCCACTCTCATTCTGTTTCTGGCTGAACACTAATTCACATTATCCCAGACACGACTTGGTCAAGACTCTGCCTTACTCATAATTTCAAGAAAGTGAGGCTTGACTTTAGGGCACCTGTTCCTCCTTCCCCCAATTTCCATCTTCAGGTTTACTCTCGTTGTGACTTCCCCACTGTGTGTTTCTGCCTTTTCTTGATTTACCGCCAAAGCCTGTTTTCAGGCATAGATTGGATAACCTTTTTATGCCAAAGACACGAACGGATGTAAGGTGTTCACTATTTTATCTTGTTGTGAGCCGGAAGGAATTACACTGGGATAGTGAAATTGTAGGCATGGGGAGAACTTGGGTCCTTTCTGTCTTCTAAAATCATTTCACAAGAGTGGTTGCCTCTGTTGGGCATCTTTTACCTTGTCTTGGTTTGGGAGCCTCGAGGGATGGGATGACCTCCAACCTTTAACCTACCATGAAGTTCCGGCTTCTATCTGGAACTTCAGAGACCAGTGCTTCTAGGGGACTATACTTTTGATTTTCATTGCTCCCAAGAAATATGTATTCCTTCTTCCCTGGGTTATATTTAAATGGCTAAGAAAATAATCTTATCCTGTTTGATACTATGGGAAAATAAAACAAAACAAAACTCATGACTTTTTTTTTTTAAATTTAGATCACCAAGTCTTAGACTGTTGAGACTTTGAGCTAAAACAAATAGGTTTTGTAATCATTTTTTTAAATGACCTCCCTCCAGCCTCCAACCCCTCCCTTTGTTTTTGATTTAAAAAATGTTAGCTAGGTAAAAATTCTTTATTAATGAGCAGGCAGAAAGGACACCCCAACTTGAGCTTAATGTTTCTCCAAGGCTGTAGAAATGACTTGTGAATGAAAATCATTACCAGTGATGAAGACATACTGAAATAAATGTATTTTTAAAAATATTCACTGAATTAATTGTAATATCGTCTGGGTCTAGAGAGGCAAATGCCTCTGAAAAATGATGCATGACACTGAAGAGAATAATTCTGTTCTCATATGCTTTCCTCTACAGATTGGATGTTGGGTGGATTAAAAACCAGAGGGGAAACTGGAGAGGGAAAGATTGTTCATTATGTTCTGATCTCTAATTGCTCAGGGGCATTGAGAAATGTGGAAAAATGAATATGAGACCACCTGCTATAATACCTTCCATAACTGGGATAAAAATTAAGTGTATATATTTATAAAATTCTCAATAATAAATAAATACGCATATTTATACAACTTCTCAATGATAAATAAGCAATATATATCTTTTGTTATTTATTATTTTAGTTTTAACTGTTTTAGTTTTTTTAAAATGTGGTGGCTGAAAAGAAAATGGCTTTTTTCTCTATATTTTTACTGTAACCCTCTATTTCTTCGGGTGTTAAGTGATGGATTACACAGGATATAGTCTATCATTCTTTCTATAAAGATTCTGCAGTCAAAGAGAAACTATGAGCATATTTGGCCCACTACAATTTAATTATGCATTGACTACATCCCAGAATGGCTCACCCATAAATTCTATAGTGTCAACAGGGGCTGCTATGTCTCTTTGTTAGGTTATAGAAAAAATGTCTTAGAGTGAAGTTTCCTTTATATTAAAAAGAAATTACTCAGTTGGATACTTACATGTGTTAAAGACACCAGCAAAAACCCAGCATTGGCCATACCGGACTGGATTCTCAGAGCTCCGGTATTCCAATAGAATGTCAACGCTTCCAGTCCAGGCCGATGGGGGGACGCCATAGGCATAGATATTGTCCCAGGATCCAACGAGGACACCTTCGTCATCTTTGGCATTCACCTAAATGAGTCCGTGAGAAGTGAGAAGGAAGAAAGTTCATTTAGGTTTGTCTACTCCAGGCTATGCATGGCGCAAGCTATGGCTGCCATTGCCTTCTATATGTTGTGCCCAGTGAAAAGAGTTCCACTTCTGTTCGGTTTACCATTACATTGTTAGAAAAAAAAGATGCAAAAACTAAATACGCAAGAGGAGACCAAGTAACCAAGATTGCCTGTTAAATCGCATATTATAGCAAGGCAAAGTTGAACGGCAGATAGGAGGAGTGTGACACCTACCGGATTGGAAGAAGACATACATAGGACACTTGGTTTGGGCTAGGTTAGTGCTCAAGAATGATGTGGGGAAGAGAGGAAGAAGACCTACAAAAGATAAAATCTCAAGTAGGGAACTTGTCTTGGTGGAAAGATAACTCAAAACTCACAAATGAGAAATTAGTGGTCTAATGGATTTTGACTTTCATTTTGAGTGGTAGACTCTACCGACTTGAAAAAGTTAACAGATGTTGTCATTTTGAGTGGTAGACTCTAATGAATTGAAAAAGTTAACAGATGTTGTCTTGGAATCATTAAGAGTTAAGAAAATAGATTCCCATGGGATGCTTACAGAGGTTTTTTGTTTTTGTTTCTTTTTTCTTTTCTTTTCTCTCTCTCTCTCTCTTTCTTTCTAAGATAAGGTCTCGATCTGTCACACAGGCTGGAATGCAGTGGCACGATCATGGTTCACTGTAGCCTCGAACTCTTAGGCTCAAGTGATCCTCCCACTTCAGGCTCCCGAGTAGCTAGGACTACAGGTGTATGCTCGGCTAATTAAATTTATTTTTTTTGTAGAGCCAGGGTCTCCCTATGTTGCCCAGGCTAGTCTTGACCTCCTGGGCTCAAGTGATTCTCCTGCCTCAGCCTTCCAAAGAGTTGGAATTACAGGCATAAGTCACCATGCCTGGCCCAGAGCTTCTTTTTCCCTTTGTAAAATTCACTTAAGTATTCTTTCTTATGATTGTTTAAACAGATTAAAGTTTTAGAGTTTTCTTAGAAGGTATTTCTGTTTCCATAAAGAACCTGGGATGTTATGGTTTAAATATGGAAGAGACTTTAGCAGAGAAAGGCAATCTTGAATATCTGGATAAAACTTGCCACACCTTCAGACTACATTCATCTTGTAGCAGCAGACCTAAAGTGCAGGAGCAAAGACCTTTTGTGTTTACATAGTAAAACAAAGGCCAAGAGGTAACAGTTTCAAGGCATCTTGCCAGTTTTTTTCTGGGCACTGCTGAATCTACCTCTCTTGGTGTAACGTTGATCATGTTTAATTACAGTCAGAAGAGTTTAGGTGGGGAGTCCAGGAGCTTTTCCAAAAACTGGTGCCATTTCAACAATGTTTACATTGACATTACAATGGTGTGGAGCCTTGCTACTTGAGGCATTCATGGATCAGCAATATTGGCATTCCCTGGGAGCTTGTTAGGAATTCAGAATCTGAGGCCCCTCCCAGAACTCTTGAATAAGAATTTGCATTTTAACAAGATCACTGGGTGATTTGTGTGCACATTCGTTTAGAAGCACAGGTCTGAGTTATAATGCAAAGACATTAGTAAGCAATGTGAAACATATGATTGAAGCATGTGTGTTTTGATTATGAAAATCACAGAAGAGACATTAAAACATGGTGAGCTTTTATGTGTTTGCTGCCTCACCAACTAACAACTCAGCCTCATCACCTGCCTAGACCCCTCTTTTTGACTTGCTGTGTCTAGTTGTAGAGAAGTCTGTCTTCCCCGCTGGTTTATCAATTCATTGGGAACAAAGAAAAAAAATCTCCGTCTTTCTGAGTTTTACCAAGTGTTAGCAAAGACTGGATGCTCTGTAGTTGTTCAATAATCACTTATATAGTCAACAAACATATAGGAAATGTATATTTGAGTAAGAATAAGACCTTATGCCTGGAGAGAGATGGTCAAGAAACCAATCAAGTGGATGTAAAGATTACTGGTATTAAGACAGAAAAATGTAGAGGTAGAGTGGGAACCTGAGGAAGGGAGTTATCAGTTAGATTGGAGGGTGGTGGTGGTGATGCTGGGGGGCCTAATAGAGGGAGATGACAGGCAAACTGGCCAGAAAAGGCCATCTACATAGTGGAAACAGTTTTAATAAATGTGTAGTGTCATGAAACAATATGGCAGGCTCTGGGACCTTCTAGGAGCTCTGCATGGGTATTATGTAAGTAGGCAATACCGAACGAAATAAAAAAAATACTAGAAGAAAACATGCAAGATGTGCAAGCATCTTTTACTGTGAATGACAAAGCCTTCACTGAAATTTGAGATTTACTCTAGCACTGAGTGGTATTTCCCAAGGAGGGTCCCTTCTGGGGAGTGTTGTCTAGAAGATCACTATTCAATTTGGTTTAGACATGCTATCTTCCCCCTTTAACTCTGTGTCCAGTCAGGTTAAAGTGAAGAAGAACTTTATGAACCACACAGTTAATTTGTTCAATGTAGGAAAAAATGAACTCTTTGGGGGTCTCTAAAAGACCTTGCTCAGCTAATTGCAAACTCATGCCTTTGATATAAATTTTGACTTTAGCTTATAGAGTCATGAAATGACTGGAGTGCAGCAGGCTTTAGCCAAACATTATGGCTATATTAAAGATCAGTACTTCTCCTTGCAGTTGGATTGATTATTTAAAAATCTGTATCCATTATCGTGAAGATTGAAGAATGCCTTGGTAGGCTATGATGTGGTTTGGTCTTTGTGGGTAGGTAGGTTTAGCTTTGAACTCACATTATCATTCCCTTATCACTGAGACATAAAATAGGCTCTATGAATTTCAGAGGTAAAGGCTCCTAAACTGTGGTCCTGATAACTGATTTTCAAACAGATAGCCATTAATTACAAGGGCTATTTATAGCATAGGGCTGAACTCAATCAGCTAAGGGGAAGAGTAAGGAAAAAAAGCTCTGTCCTCTACAGACCTTTTAATTGTTAATGCTGAGCTGTTCCCCTGTTGCTAGATAAATCACAACCCTCATTTATTAGCATTTGGGCAGATTAGCTACTGTTTTCTAATTAGAACATTGATTTCTAGGGAGCTCAGGCCATGAAAGAGGTAAGTTTTTAGTGACAGATGTAAAGGGTTAAAATAATATCTCCCCTCATAAGCAACAAGATATGTTTGGAGGACATGTTTGTCATTTTTCATGCCACAGTTGGCTGTTTTAACACCCTCTCATGATCTCAGGGTTTGACCAGTGGCAGAATAAAGTGTCTTGGTCTTGAGTCACTGGTGGTCAAGTAGACAATACAAGTCCAGGACTACGTACAGGAGGCATTATTCAACTTCATTAAGGCTACACTAAATTGCCCTCCCATAATACCTACAAAATTAGAAAAAAATTTCAAAAACCCCTAAAAGTCATTATCAGCATAATGCAATAAACTTCAAAACATGGTCCCAACAAAACATGAGGACTATGGAGTAAAGCAGAGAGGCAACATGGCTCAGCTCCTAACCTTAACCATCTTACCAGCTAGTCAACAAAAACCTGAGATTTCTAATTTATATTTTAAATTCTAGAAAGTAATAAATATAATCAAAATGCTGATCTTTTTGGCCAGGCATGTAATCCCAGCCCTTTGAGAGGATGAGGCAGATAGATTGCTTGAGGTCAGGAATTCAAGACCAGCCTGGCCAACATGGTGAAACCCCATCTCTACTAAAAATACAAAAACTAGCTGGGCATAGTGGCACATGCCTGTAGTCCCCGCTACTCTGGAGGCTGAGGCAGGAGAATCGCTTGAACCGGGGAGGCAGAGGTTGCAGTGAGCTGATTGTACCACTGCACTCCAGCCTGGGCAACAGAGTGAGATCCTGTCTCAAAAAAAAAAAAAAAAAAAAAAGCTGATCTTTTTATTGTTCTGAACAGAATGGTGGAAACACCTGCTGTGGAGAAACGAGTGAAAAAGTATCTGCACCTTAAAAGAGGTAGAGATTCTGGAACACAATTGGGAAATAATACAAGCTGAGCGTATCCCCCAATGGAACTGAGATATGCCTCCAGTTGTGGGGGTGGGTTCTGGAGTGACAGATGTAGGAGAATCTTAAGGGAAAGAGCAGACCCTAAGCATGATACCAAAGATTGTTCATCTTCTAATACTGTAGTCCTCACTCCAATCTCTTGCAGAGTACTGAAGAGTAGATAGAATGTGGTACATTGGCCTCAAATTGTAGTTCAGAAGTGAGATCAAACTAACCTTAGATTGAGAAGAATTTCATTTATTACAGCAAATAGAACGTCTAGAGACAAGAATGATGCAAGTTTGAGCATAAATATAGGGAAAAGAAACTGCATGCAGAGGAAGAGACAGAAAGAGAGAGAGGGAGAGATCATGAAAAAATATACATAGAAGAAAACGAAATTAAGGAGCATAAGTCATTTTTCTCACAACCTTTTAGGAGATCACAGACCAAGGCAACAAATTGAGGACCAAATCATACCATTACAGAGCTAATAATAAATTATAAACTGCAAGAAACAGAATACATATTATTAAAAATAAAAATTAATGACATAGAAGAAAACTTGAGATATCAAAGAAAATACTAATAAAAAACCAAAGTGATGAATTATTTAGAGAGATTCTAATAGTACCATAGTTATGGAAAACAAAGATGATACAACATAAGGATGATTAGTGTCCTTAAAATAGAGAACCCAAGGATTTGGATCATCATGGTGGATGGGAGGCAGGACTGGATTGCAGCTCTGGACAGAGCAGCATGTGGAGGCTCGTGCTGTAAATTTTAGATCCAGGTCGACTGCAAGAACAAACCAGCAATCCTGAGAGGACCACAGACTCTCTGAAGGAAGCAGACTGCTTCTGCAGGACCCGAGAGACCCCCCCAAATACTGTGAGTGTCCCAACTATGCAAGTGGGAAAGGGAGACCCTCCTCTCCCGAACACAAACCTCCACTGGAGAAGCTGAAGGTCTGTTTGTGGGAGAAGTTTCCGACTTCACCTGGTGCTGGGTCAACTTGGAGAGCTGAGGGAAATACAGGGGTAGAGGAAGCAGCAGAAAGGCCCTGGGAGCTTGCTAGGTCCCCTAGCAGGCCATCCCTGCCTGGCACCACAGAGATCCATCAGAAAGGTGGACAGAGGAGCAGAGGATAAAACTCCACATGGAGAAGGAAATCTCTAGCTGAACTTTGTAGCAATTTGAATGGGGTGAGAAGCCTCCTGGCCAAAACTTGGGGGAGGGTGCAAATCCGGTGTGCAGACTCCACAGGTGTGGAAGAACCAAACCCTTTTCTTTTGCAGCTGGGAGGTGGGTAGACCGGGTCAGGTTTTCAAGGCCATCTTGCCCTCTGCCTGGAAATGGACTTAGGGCTGTTGAGGGGGGCACGGTGGGAGTGAGACTGGCCCTTTGGTTTGCATGGCAGCTGGGTGACTCCTGTGACTGCCAGCTTCCCCCAACTTCCCTGACAACCTGCATGACTCAGCAGAGGCAGCCATAATCCTCTTAGGTACACAGCTCCAGTGACCTAGAAATCTCACCCCCATCCCCCACAGCAGCTGCAGCAAGACCTGCCCAAGGAGAGTCTGACCTCAGACACGCCTAGCCCAGCCCCCAGTTGATGGTCCTTTCCTACCTACCCTGCTAGTGGAAGACAAAGGGCATATAATCTTGGGAGTTCTGGGGCCCTGCCCACCACTGGTTCCTCCCCATACTACCACAGCTACTGCTCTCTGGAAAGCACCACCTCCTGGCAGGGAGCCAACCAGCACAAAAATAGAGCATTAAACACCAAAGCTAAGAACCCTAACAGTGTCCATTGTACCCCCTGCCACCTCCACCGGAATAGGCGCTATTCCGGTGGCTGAGAGGGACCCAGAGATGGCTCACATCACAGGATTCTGTGCAGACAATGCCCAGTGTCACTCCAGAGCTGGGTAGACTTGCTGGGTGGGTAGACCCAGAAGAGAGACAATCACTGCAATTTGGCTCACAGGAAGCCACATCCATAGGAAAAGGGGGAGAGTACTACATCAAGGGAACATCCCATGGGACAAAATAATCTGAACAACAGCCTTCAGCCCTAGACCTTCCCTCTGACAGAGCCTACCCAGATGAGAAGGAACTGTAATATGACAAAACAAGGCTCTTCAACACCCCCCAAAAATCACACTAGTTCACCAGCAATGGATCCAAACAAAGAAGAAATCCCTGATTTACCTGAAAAAGAATTAAGGAGGTTAGTTATTAAGCCAAACAGGGAGGGACCAGAGAAAAGTGAAGCCCAATGCAAGGAAATCCAAAGAATAATACAAGAAGTGAAGGGAGAAATATTCAAGGAAATAGATAGCTTAAAGAAAAAACAAGCAAAAATTCAGGAAACTTTGCACACACTTTTACGAATGCGAAATGCTCTGGAAAGTCTCAGCAATAGAATTGAACATGTAGAAGAAAAAAATTCAGAGCTCAAAGACAAGTTCTTTGAATTAACCCAGTCCAAAAAGACAAAGGAAAAGGAATAAGAAAATATGAACAAAGCCACCAAGAAGTCTGGGATTATGTTAAATGACCAAAGCTAAGAATAATCGGTGTTCCTGAGGAAGAAGAGAATTCTGAAAGCTTGGAAAATGTATTTGGGGTAATAATTGAGGAATACTTCCCCGGCCTTGCTAGAGACCTAGACATCCAAATACAAGAAGCACAAACAACACCCAGGAAATTCATTGCAGAAAGATCTTTGCCTAGGCACATTGTCATTAGGTTATCCAAAGTTAAGACAAAGAAAAGAATCTTAAGAGCTGTGAGACAGAAGCATCAGGTAACCTATAAAAGAAAACCTATCAGATGAACAGCAAATTTCTCAGCAGAAACCCTACAATCTAGAAGGGATTGGAACCCTATCTTCAGCCTCTTCAAACAAAACAATTATCAGCCAAGAATTTTGTATCCAGCGAAACTAAGCATCATATATGAAAGAAAGATACAGCCTTTTTCAGACAAACAAATGCTGAGATAATTCACCATTACCAAGCCACCACTACAAGAACTGCTAAAAGGAGCTCTAAATCTTGAAGCAAATCCTGGAAACACATCAAAACAGAACTTCTTTAAAGCATAAATCACACAGGACCTATGAAACAAAAATACAAGTTAAAAAGCAAAAACAAAAAACAAAAAAACCAAAGTACACAGGCAACAAAGAGCATGATGAATGTAATGGTACCTCACATTTCAACACTAACATTGAATGTAAATGGCCTAAATGCTATATTTAAAAGATACAGAACTGAAGAATGGATAAGAACTCACCAACCAACTGTCTGCTGCCTTCAGGAAACTCACCTAACACATAAGGACTCACATAAACTTAAAGTAAAGGTGTGGAAAAAGGTATTTCATGCAAATGGACACCAAAAGCGAGCAGGGGTAGCTATTCTTATATCAGACAAAACAAACTTTAAAGCAACAGCAGTTAAAAGAGACAAAGAGGGACATTATATAATGGTAAAAGGCCTTGTCCAACAGGAAAATATCACAATCCTAAACAAATGTGCACTGAACACTCAAGTTCCCAAATTTATAAAACAATAACAAATAGACCTAAGAAATGAGATAGACAGTAAGACAATAGTAGTGGAGGACTTCAGTACTCCACTGACAGCACTAGACAGGTCATCAAGACAGAAAGTCAACAAAGAAACAATAGATTTAAACTATACCTTGGAACAAATGGACTTAACAGATATATACAGAACATTTTATCCAACAACCACAGAACACACATTCTAATCAACAGTGCATAAAACTTTCTCCAAGATAGACCATATGATAAGCCATAAAATGTGCTTCAATAAATGTAAGAAAATTGGAATTATATCAAGCCATCTCTCAGACCACACAGAAATAAAACTGGAAAGCAACTCTAAAAGAAACCTTCAAAACCATGCAAATACATGGAAATTAAGTAACCTGCTCCTGAATGAGCATTGGGTCAAAAACAAAATCAAGATGAAAATTAAAAAATTCTTTGAACTGAATGACAATAATGACACAACTTATCAAAGCCTCTGGGATACAGCAAAGGCAGTGCTAGGAGGAAAGTTCATAGACCTAAAGGCCTACAGAAAAAAGACCAAAGGAGCGCAAACTGACATTCTAAGGTTACACCTCAAGGAACTGGAGAAACAAGAACAAACAAAACCCTAACCCAGCAGGAGAAAAGAAATAACCAAGATCAGAGCAGAACTAAACAAAATTGAAACAAACAAAAATACAAAAGATAAATGAAACAAAAAGCTGGTTATTTAAAAAGATAAATAAAATTGATAGATCATTAGCAAAATTAACCAAAAAGAGAGAAAATCCAAATAACCTCACTAAGAAATGAAACAGGAGATATTACAACTGACACCACTGAAATACAAAAGATCATTCAAGGCTACTATGAACACCTTAATGCACATAAACTATAAAATCTAGAAAAGACAGATAAATTCCTGGAAAAATACAACCCTCCTAGCTTAAGTCAGGAAGAATTAGATATCCTGAACAGACCAATAACAAGCAGTGAGATTGAAATGGTAATTAAAAACTTATCAACAAAAAAATGTCCAGGAACAGACGGATTCACAGGAGAATTCTACCAGACATTCAAGGAAGAATTGCTACCAATCCTTTTGACACTATTCCACAAGATAGAGAAAGAAGGAACCCTCCCAAATTCATTCTATGAAGCCAGCATCACCCTAATACAAAAACCAGGAAAGGATATAACCAAAAAAGGAAACTACAGACCAATATCCTTGATGAACACAGATGCTAAAATCTTTCACAAAATACTAGCTAACTGAATCCAACAACATATCAAAAAGATAATCCGCCATGATCAAGTGGGTTTCATAACAGGAATGTGGACATGGTTTAACATACACAAGTCAATAAATGTGATGCACCATATAAACAGAATTAAAAACAAAAATCACATGATCATCTCAATAGATTCAGAAAAAGCATTCAACAAAATCCAACATTGCTTTATCATTAAAACTCTCAGCAAAATCAGCATACAAGGGACATACCTTAATGTAATAAAAGCCATCTATGACAAACCCACAGCCAACATAATACTGAATGAGGAAATGTTGAAAGCCATTTCCTCTGAGAACTGGAATAAGACAAGGAGTCCCACTGTCACCACTCCTCTTCAACATAGTACTGGAAGTCCTAGCCAGAGCAATAAGTTAAGAGAAAGAAATAAAGGACATCCAAATAGGTAAAGAGGAAGTCAAACTGTCACTGTTTGCTGACGATATGATTGTTTACCTTGAAAACCCCAAGGACTCCTCCAGAAAGCTCCTAGGACTGATAAAAGAATTCAGCAAAGTTTCTGGATACAAGATTAATGTACACAAATCATTAGCTCTTCTCTACATCAACAGTGACCAAGTGGAGCATCAAATCAAGCATTCAGCCCCCTTTTACACACATTGTCGAACATGAAGTACTTCAGGGAATATGGTACCTATCATAACCAAACTATTAATACTTGAAAGTGATATCAAAATAATTAGGGGCTGAGTCAAACAAAGAACCCAGGAACAGAGACTCTGTGATAACAGATTCAGGGGTGAGAAAACTCTATATAAGTTAAGCATCTTTGGGATTTACAGTTACAGATGAATTTTAAGACTTGATAATATAAAAACAATAATCATCCTAAGAAAAAAGATAGGAGAAAGAGGAGAGGAACAGTGAAAATGGTAATGTTTTAGTGTGTGGGTCTCTCAGTTAATTGATACCATCTAACATTAAAGTATAATTTAAAAGTACATAATTACTTTATTCTTTTAATGGTTTTTATAATTTTTAATAACCTTAGGAAAACCTGTTAAGAAATGATATCTCTTGTAGTGAAGAAATATTTATTTGAAGTTTAATAATTTCTTCTGTTGCAATTTAATTTCTTTCCTATTAAAGTAAAATTCAATAAAACTTAAAATTAAATAGAATTTGGGTACAATTACATGTAATACTTTCAAATTAAGTAGCATGACACCATTTGGTATAAATACAAACAGATCAATGTGACACAATAGAGAACACAGAAATAGACTCACACAAATACAGTTAACTAATTTGTGATAAAGTTGCAAAGGAAATTTTATGGATAAAGGATAATCATTTCAAAAAATGAGGTGGCATCAATTGGATATTCATATGCAAAAATACGAGCTTTGATTCATACCTTGCACCATATGTAAAAATGAACTCAAAATGAACCTTAGACCTAAATATAAAACCTAGGGTTATAAAACTTCTAAAAGGAAGCAAAGGAGAAAATTGTGTGATCTTAGGTTAGGCAGTTTCCTTAGATAAAATATGAAAAGCATGATCCATAAAAAAATTTGTAAATCAGACTTCATAAAAATTAAGAACCTTTGCTCTTTGAAAGGCCCTGTGAAGAGAATGAAAAAATAAAACTAGAGTGGAAGAAGATATTTGTAAATCCTTTATCTGATTAAAAAGAAAAAACTTGTATCCAGAATATGTAAAGAACCCTTGAAACTCAATAGTAAGAAAACAAACACAACCTTAAAACAAGAGAAAAATATTGGAACAGATATTCCATCAAAGAAAATACGTGGGTGGCCAATCACAACAAAAGATGCTCAGTATCATCAGCCATTAAGGAAATGCAAATCAAAACCACAGCAAGGTAACATTGGACATCTATTTAAAAGTCTAAGATTAAAAAGACTGATCATATGAAGTGTCCGGGAGGATATGCAACACTTTAGACTCTCATATGCTGCTGGTGGGAATGTAAAATGCCCATCCAATTTAGGAAACAGTTTGGTAGTTTCTTAAAAATTAAACCTATGTTTAGCTTATGACCCAGCCACCTCACTCCTAGGTATTTACCTAAGAGAAATAAAAGCTTACGTCTATACAAAGACTTTTACTAAAGTCTTCCAAGCTAAAGTTTCTGGCTTTATTTGTAAGAGGCAAAAACGGAAAATGGCCTAAATGTCCATCCACAAGTAAATACATGGGCAAATAGTGATTCATCCATACAATGAAACACTACTACTCAGCAATAAAGAGGAATGAACTACTGAAACAAAAAACAGCATGGATGAAGCTCAGAATACAGTAAGGAAGCATAAAAGAAGCCTCACAAGGAGTACATACTGCATGATTATATTTGTGTAAAAGTCTAGAAAACACAAATCAATGTATAATGACAGAAGGCTGAGCAGTGATGGGGGATGGTACACAAAGCAGGGAGTGGTTTAAGGAAGAAATTACAATAAGGAAACTTCTGGGGGCAATGGATATATTCATTATTTTGATTTTAGTGTTCGTTTCATGGGTACATATACATGTCAACATTATCCAATTGTACATTAAGTATGCACATTTTATTGTCAACTATATCTCAATAAAGCTGTGAAAATCAATGAAGACTTTTAAATTAAACCAGCATCTATAGTATAATATTATCTATGATTTTAAAATTATTTCTCCTGTATAATTCAAAGAATAGAAATAGCCCTAAAACATGACCCGTACTGGACTTCTGTTTAATTTTGGTCATTGGAATATGAGCAGATTCTAACTTGATACTGAAAAATAAAGAAATGTGACATTTCTTGATTCTTCAATTTCCTGTAGCGCAGACCTTTACATTTTGTATAGTTACTATTTCTTTCTGCTTTTTAAAAAAATATGCAAGGGTACTTTTCTCCTCTGTGTGCATTTTATATGGCTATGATGAAATGACTTTTCTCTGTTATAAACCTATCATATTCCGTTAAATTTCATTGTTAAAAGTTATGTCCTCATAAAGGCTAGGATTTCCATAACTCTTTTAGAAAATAGTCTTATACCTAATTTTGTCCACAATGGTTTCTCAAAGACCATTGGAAATGAATTTTGATGTTGGGTAACACGAACTAACATCAAAGGCCTAGCGTTAAGTTTGGCAAGGAGAAGAATTATTTCCTGTAGAAAATCGTTTCCAGGTTTTGTGAACCACAAATCCCCAGCTACAGTGTGGTGGTGACCAGACTTAATCACAGGTGGAAGTGGTGTGGTGGATGTCAAATTGTGCTTCATGACATGCTAGGGTTTTGCAAAAGAAACTCAGTAGTTACGGTGTTGTGGGGTGGGGCAGGTGAGAATTGAATGTTGATAGTCAAGGCTGCAGTCACCACCTTTCTTTAATAATAGCTGCTCTGCTTTTTCTCTTTTATGTATTTGGATTCAATTGCTGTTTGAAAAAATTGTTCTAAAAAATAAAATTTAAAAGGTCACAGTTCTGGGAATGTAGAGATCTGTTTTTGTGCCTGCTCCGCCATTTGCCAAGTTATGTTGTAAGGATAGGAAGGGAGATGAGCTGAAGGTCAAGTACTCAGGTTATTCCATGGGCAGGCATCCCAGAAAATGCACAAGAAAAAAGAAATAGGGTAGCAGCAATTCTATTTCTTCCCTTGCCTGGCTCTTCATCCTTGATTTTCTTCTGGGCTTTTATGGCACTTACAACAGCCAGGGTCACATACTTGGTCGAAAGGAAAGGAAAATCATCTACCATGTCTTTGGTTTTTCATAGTGGTTTGCTTAATAACAAGCTGTTTTCTGCCTTGTTGTTGCTGGAAATGTTATTCTCGCTCCCTGGAATGTCCATCCACACTCAAACCTCTTCTTTACCTGGTGCCCTATTGATCCTTTAAAACTCAGCTGGTTTCACCCTGGGAATCTTTACTTATCACCTTGATTTGGATGTCCTTACTCTTTGATCACATAGTACTCTTTGCATAGTACTATCCATTTATCACATTGTATTGTGTCATTGGTTAGACTGTCCTTGTTCTTTTCCCAGACTTTATGTTCACAGAAGGAAGGAAGGCACTATGCTGTTTTGACTTTATATTCCCAGGGCTAGCACAGAGTGGGAACTCAATAAGTTCTGTTGAATGAATGGATGTGCTATCACTGGAAGATGGCTATAGGCTACATTTTAATACTTCTTTAATAGATCAAGACAACGGGACAGTTAGAATGCCAATAGGCACTTCATTAAAGCTGGAAAGTTGTTTCCAAAATTTACATAGCAATACAAAGGATCTAGAATAATTAAACATAATATTGAAAAAGAAGAACAAAAATGAATGACTACCTGATTTGAAGGTTTACTAGAGGAAAGCAGTAAAAAAGGCAGTGTGGTATTGTCATAAGGACATACATATAAACTAATGAAACAGAAAAGAGAGTCTAGAAATAGATCCATACTCATGTAGACATTTGATTTCTGACAAAGTCACCAAAGCAATTCAATGAAGAAAATGACAGTCTTTTCAACAAAGAAACTCTTTGCAACGAATGAAAGCCTTTCCAACAGTCTTTTCAACAAATGCTGGTGGAACAAATGGATAAATTTGGAAAAAATAAGATTTGATCCCTACCTCACACAACACCAAAAGGTAACTCAAGATGGATCATAGACCACAATGTAAAAGTTCAAATTATAAAGCTTCAAAAATAAAACATAGGAGAAATAGTGGCAAACATGGGCAAATAGTGATTCATGTGAAAGTCTTCATGTGGAAAGAACATTTACTGGGGATGACTATTAAAGAACAATGAAAAAATTTGATTTTATAAAATTTAAAAACTTTTGTTACTTAAAATATGCCATTTATAAAATATAACTACAAGCCATAGTTTGGGGAAAATATGTTCTATACATATCTGACAAATGAGAGGTATATACACAGAGCAACTATAACTTAATAATAAAAGTACAAATGACTGAATAAGAAAATCAGTAGACTTGAAAACATGCTGCATATATATATATATATATAGCCAATAAATGTATTAAAAGATGCTCAAAATCATTAGCCATCAGGGAAATGAAAATTAAAACTACAATGAAATGCCACTATATACCCATTTGATTGGTTAAAATTAAAAAGGTTCAAGACATCAAGAATAGGTGAAGCTGTGGAGAAACTGGAACTCTCATATGTTGCTGGCAGGAATGTAAAACAGTAGAGCTGCTTTGGAAAACTAGCCAATTCTTATAAAGTTAAATATATACATACTTTCTGATCTAGGCATGCTCTCTTTAGCTATTTACTCCAGATATATGAAAACACATACACAAAAACACTTGTACAAGAATGTTTATAGTAACTGTATTCATAATAGCTTCACATTGGAAACATCTTAAACATGCATCAATAGGTGAATGGATAGACAAATTGTGATATACAATGCAATAAAATACTTCTTAGTAATGGTAAGGAAAGCATTGAAAACACATGTAACAGTTGATGGAGTAAGAGAAGCCAGCCCTATTTCTACTGTGTGAATCCATTTATGTAAAGTTGAAGAATAGACAAATGTAACCCATTGCAAGAAATCAGAATAGTAGCTACCTAATGAGGTGGGGATTGACCGGAAGAAGCACGAGGGAAACTTCTGAGCTTGTGGAAATGTCTATATTTTGATTGGGGTGGTGATTACCCCAATCAAAAGTCATTGAATTGTGCATTTAATATCCATGATTTTTTACTGTATGTAAATTTTACTTCAATTAAAAAAAATCCTGTAACTAACTGTAATGAATAGTATGAAGCATATAACTACCGATATATGAATGTCCTTTGGTATATATATGACCCAAGCTCTGATAGGGGTGGGTAATTAGACTCATTTTTCATGATAACTATGACCACAGGAAATTATTAACCTTGTCTCTCTCAGTATCTGAGGATGCTCATTTGGCCAAAACATATTTTACTAATTGACAATAATGAGAGAAATAAGCAAATGTGGACTGAGAGAGAAAACTGAGATTTCAAGGTCTCCAAGTGTGGCCTGCTGTTTTCATTGCCATACCACTGCTGCATGGTGTAGAGCTGGTATAGAACAGGCCTCAAAAATATCTGAATTAAAGGAATGGACGTATGAGAGAGGGAAAAATGCAGAGCAGGAGGAGGAAAAAGGGAAGGATGTAACAGGAGGAGACAGGGGAAAGAAAGAGGGTATGAAGGGAACCCAAGGTGCATGAAGCTGTGCATATCCTAAAGGGCTGAGCTGGCTTTGCTTTGCTCCTTTGCTATCCATCTATCCTGGGGATGCTGGCCCCAGGAGACCAGAGCAGCACCAACCGCTCAGCTTGGAGGGAGTGCTGTAAAGCATCCCTGTGCTTCAGAAATAGCCTGTGTGATTACAGAATAGCTGCAGCATTGAAACCTCATTCCAGGAAGCAATTCAGGGAAAGCAGACATTTAGATTGCCCATGATTATCACATTCGAGAGATGCCTTGTAATAAATGTCTGTTTTTCTCCAAAAATATGGGGTGAAGAGGCATAAGAAATGTAAGCTTAATAATTGAGAAACCAAGCTGTTTGACCACAAATGGAAACTTCATTACACTGCTGGCTTTTACCATAAGAGAAAAAAGATAATGTCTGAGCAGTTCATCGTCCCCCCACTGCCCCCACCTGAAAGAGAAGGATTGAATCAGACAGGACATGTAAAAGGCATTATATCTGTATCCAAGGAGCTCATGTGACCGGGAGAGAGGACAGACAGAGGACAAATCCAGGGGAAATAGAACATTGTGTGTGAATTAGTGGGGCCAGGCAACTCATGACCCACCCCCAGTGCTACCAGCAACCTTGGATAAAGTTACTTAACTTCCTGATGCCTCAGTCTCTCCACCTGCACTTTGGTTATTTATGGAATGGATTTATGCAATTTCTCAAAAGTGGCTATGAAGATACTTTCTGTTAGATAAATTCTATTTTCCCACTGGCTTCCAATATATCTGTCAATTTTTTAAAAATCTTCAATGAACAGAAATGAAAATCCCTGGTGAATAAGGTGACCTTATGGTATTGTTTACTTTGAATACATTAGAGAATTGCTTTGAGTCTGTACCTCTCATTCATCATTGAATTCCCTGGGTCATTTTAGAATCATAGAAATGACTTTCATTCTTAGAAATACCTTGACTTTAACTTTAATGGTTTTCTAAAAAATCTTTTTAGAGTTGGTAATTTAGTACTTTACTCTGTTGGACTACAGTAACACTCTTCATTAATATAAATCAGTGGATTCTCCCAAAGTTGTCACCCCGAGAGCTCCTACTAATTGATATGCGTTACAATTGGAAAGGTTGCAAGGAACACCGGAGGCTTCTGCCTTTTTCTGCTGTTCCAAACTGAGAAATTTCATTCCTGATATGAATCATAGAAAGAGACAATAACACTTTTAAATAAAAGCTGATAGGGTTGGAGACCCAGAAGCTCTGGATGGAGACTCAAGTCCATGATGGAACCTACATCTGGCAGTGGTCACCACCTGGGGAATTTTGACCTCTAGGCATCTGTGGGTTAGTAATGCAGGTAGGCTGTTGTCGCTTTTATAAAAGACCAGATGGAAGTTGTATCTTTACCCCCACAAAGTGACACCGAATCATATTCAGTGTGGTCATACTCATTATCTGGTAGAGATGATTACCACCACCGCCACCATCATTAGAAGTTCCCATTGGCAGTTATATAAATCTGACACAAGAATGGGGTAACAAGGTATTATTACATAATCATGATTTGTTTTGATAGATGAACTTTTTCAAAAATTAAAATCCATATGGGTAAATGTGAAAAAGTTCCTTGGTGATTTAGAAATGCCAAGGACAATGCCCATTGAGCACCTGGGTCCTCAGATGTATCTACGACCGTTCACTCCAAAAAAAGAGGTTTAAGCTGCTTTATAAACCAAAGGATGGGTTAGATATTGCTTTGTAATTAAAATTTTTCTTAATAAAACTGTTACGAAAGTACCTTGTGACTGGTCTGTATGATCAAGGAATAAACTTTAGAAATAAATACAAACTTTATATATTTATTTCTGTCTTTACAGTTCATTTGGGATGACTCAGGTGTGAAATTTCTAATCAAAGTGAACTTTTAAATGTAATCTGAATATTTATAATTAAGGTTTGTTGCATGAAGAGGTTTGCTCAACGTGAAGCTTCCTATAAGATGACCAAGTAAACAATTGAAAGAAAATGAACAAAACATGGTTTTATAGTTAACCCCTTGAGGAGCTGCTTGGCAAGATATAAAAGTAGTTATGTCATTACTGTCTTTTTCATGCATGGAAAGAAAAAAATCTTTCTAAATACTGGGACAAAAAGAGGGGGAGGAAAAGATGGACAAAGGGAAAATAACTTTATTTTCTGTTTATCTGTAGGATCACAGATGCATGAGGATCAGAAGCACTAAAGTCCATTTCATCTCAAAGGTCTACAGTCATTCATCTTGTACTGTGTCCTAGAAAAATCCAGGACCTACTCCGAATTGTGGTCAGTTTGATTTACTAGCTGAAGTTCAAGATTTTTTTACAATGCTAAAGAGTACATCGAACATCGATTGGTTAAAAAAGTTTAGTCATGAGTTAGTTCCCAAAAGGCATAGTCAGAGCAAAGTATTAATGGGGATTAATGATGGCATTGTGGTTCGATATTAGCAAAAGGCCAGGGTTAAAAATAAATGCATACATCTCAAGGGAAGCTGGATAGTCCAGGATGGCAGCAGTACAAACACTGAAATTTAAAAATATGTAACTATATTGACGTTTTTTTCTCTCCTCCTACTTTCCTAATTTTCTCATTAATATTACCTTTTTTCTTACTACAACTGAATCAGAATACCATGGATCAAGTAACTGTAAATGTTGAGATCCTATGGAATAAACTTCAGTTGTGTCAACCTTAGTTTTCTGAATTGCAAAACAAACAAGCCCCCAGAAGAGCAAATAACCCTCTACTACATTTTTCTTCAGTGCTTTTGGTGACTAGCTGTTTGTATATAATTTCCACCATGGAGAAAGGGTTTCTTCAAATAATAGCATGGTTAATTACTGTGGGACCTCAGACATTCTTCTATCTTTTGATCCAATGTTTAGTCCTGGGAAACCTTTGAGCTACATTTGAGAGATTTGCTTTCCCATACAACCCTATGCTTATTTCCATCACAGAATTTGCCATGCTGAGCTAAAATTTTCTATTTACTAGTCTGTGTTCTCTGTTAGACTGTAAGCTTTGTGAAGGCAGAAACTTAATTTTGTTCACAATTGTACTCCAGTGTTCAGACTGGTAGATTGCCATAAACATTTGTCAAACAAATGAGTAAATACTGAGTGTTTTACCACCATCACCACCACCACTACCACTATCACCACCATCATAAATCACCACCACCACCACATTACGCCATCACCACCACTACCACCATCACTCCCACCACCATCACTCCTACCATCACCACCACCATCACCGTCACCATCTCCACCACCACCATCACCATCATCATCACTATCACCACCATAATCACCCTACCATCACCACCATTATTATCACAATCACTATCACCACCACCGTCACCACCACCATCATCACTAACTCTATCACCACCACCACCAAACACCACCACCATTATCATATCATATTTGGTACCTGATCGTCTTTGGAAGCTCATTCTCCAGGGCCCCAGTGCCTATGGCTATTTAGAATCCTCTGATTGATACCTTTCTTCACTTATTCCCCATTTTCAATAATTTGCCTCATCTGGGCTCCATTCCCTTGGGGCTCTCTTCTTTTCTAGGAAATGGCAATTCAATCTTACATAATTATTGTGTTATTGGCAATAACGTGTTGATAGTGGCCCTCTAAGGTAATATGATCTGAGAGTAAGGACCATATCTGGTTTCAGCTCAGCCACTTATTTGCTGTGTGACTTTGAGTGAGGGACACCACTTCCAAGGGCTTCTGCTTCCTCACCCAGAAGACTCTTGGAGAGTCCTCCCCATTGCACACGCTGGTTCAGCATGTGTTTCGACACAGATCCTCCACTGGTAATGCCTTGACCCACTGGAGCAAATATGGATGGAGGTGGTACATGTAGGTGTGTCACAGTGAATAACGAGCCTTTATCTGCAGTAGCGGCAGCCTTTGCAGAAGCAGCTGCATCTCCTTGGGGGAAATTCTCTGCCCATAGTTGCTGCCAGATCCTATCAGTCGGGAGGCAGGAACAGGCATAGACAGGTAACCACGCCGCAGTAATGCCAGGTGGTTGCACAGCCTTCCCTTTTCCCCAGAACCATGCTGCCCTTGTCACAATATGTCACGGCCCACCTTCTTTGATAGTCTGACTCAGGGCTCAGAGTCCATGTCTGGCTTATTCACAGAAACTTGGGGCTAGCAATAGAATGCTTTATTAATGCCATGTGAGGGAAGTAAGTGTTCGGATGGCACAAAGTTAAGCATTCTCCTTAGCTTTCTCTGGCAATTTTCCTGGTGGGAACTGTCACATCAGAAATGCATTGAAAAGAAAGCAGCAATCAAGCAATGCAATTTAAAGGGAGAAGTATAACTGTGGGCAAGTTTCTTCATTTTTTCTAATTGCTTCTCTTTTTTTTCTTTTCTCTCTTAAATCAATCTGCAGTATAGCTTGGTAAAATGCACCACTCAGTATTTAAAGGAGCCTAAGCAAAAGTTAGCTTATGTAAGGTTATAATATCTCAGGCCTAATCTCTAGATGATGAGAATACAGGATTTTGGACTTGCTTTCTCCTGGGAAACTCCAATAGCCCCAGGCTGTCCAGATTGTCATAACTTTTCCTACTTTTACATCAAAGTGAAATAACAGCAACTCAATATAAGAACAAGGGAAGTTACTGAATGTATAAAGGAAAAAATAGAAGAAGGGAGAGCACTATTTTGAAGAATAAAAGAGTATTCTTGCTGCCAATGTGGTTTGAGTACAGAGACAAAATTTCACTTTAAAGACAAAGATGCGAGGCCAGCAGAGGTGAGTTATTTACCCTGGGTCACATAGTAAGTTAATAGCACAACCAGAATCAAGGTCCAATCCCTCGACACGAGCTGAGTCGCTTCCCATATGATGCTGCCTTCACTTTCTTTTCAGTCAAGGATGAAAACCAGCAGGTTTTGAGTGAGTTAGGAAGACAGATTCGCTATGCAGGTGAGAAGAGAGTGTTACTTACATTCCATAGGTGGAGAAACTGAGTCACAGAGGGGTTTAGTGCTGTCATCCTCACTAAGGGTGATTTTTACCCCCAGTAGACATTTGGTAATATGTGGAATCAGTTTGAGTTGTCACAACTGGTAAGGGAACAGTTATGACAACTTGCATCCCCCAGGTAGAAGATAGGGATGTCGTTAAACATTCTACACAGGACAACCTTCTACAACAAACAATTACCCAAGGTCACATACAATAAATATAAATATACTGAACAATAAATATTTTTATCTGGGGATTGTGCACTTAAAATCCTTTTGAGATGGAGTTTTACTCTTGAGTGCAATGGTGTGATCACAGCTCACCACAACCTCTGCCTCCCGGGTTCAAGCAATTCTCCTGCCTCAGCCTCCTGAGTAACTGGAATTACAGGCATGCATCACCATGCCTGGCTAATTTTTTGTATTTTCAGTAGAGATAGGGTTTCTCCATGTTGGTCAGGCTGGTCTTGAACTCCTGACCTCAGGTGATCTGCCCGCCTCGGCCTCCCAAAGTGCTGGGATTACAGGCGTGAGCCACCGTTCCTGGCCCAAATTCAGATTCTTATTATGATTGAAAGTTTGCACAATTTGGGTTATCGGTGCTTTTTTCAACATGCACCCACCTGTTGCCTGAAAACTCCTTGCCAACCTTCAGTGCTAGACTTGTCCTGGACCACAGTAAGCAAATTTGTCTTTGGGGCCCCAGTCGTGTGCTCTGCATCTTGTCCCCACCCAGCTCCACTCTCTCCAGATACCCAGCAAAGACTGGTCTGCTCATCCTCACTGTTTCCCAGCAGCAAGTGCCCTCAGGAAAGTTCTGCCTTCCTTCACTCTCACCTGGGGATGAACTGAGATCTATGTGCTATTTCTTCTGGAGAGTCCACATGCCACCTATACCGCTGCTCTGGCATTTGCAACCTGCGAATGGGATTTCTAGCCTCTATGACCAGGCTGGGAGGTGTTTGAGAGGAATTCAGAACAACTCTGCACCAGCCTCTGTTTTACCTGTGAGGCCTGGGCCCAGCCCCTGAGAAAACACACACAGCTCTGTCGCCCTGCAACAGGGTTCTGGCTAAGAGTCCACAACTTCAGAACATTTTCTTGTGGGCTCTCTAGGCACATCTTTTCATACTAATAAAGTCAAATCATTCATTGAGAAATTTAAAGATTTTTTTTGTCTTTGTTCTTTGTTTAACTGCATTCAGAAATTTCATGATAGATTTCCAGGATTTGTGAACGGGAGAGTATCTGCCTGAATGACCAAAGAACACTTGATCTTTCCTCTGTGTCATTTTTTAAATTGATTTTTGGAGGCTCAGTATTTTAGCTTTTAAAATTATTAAAACGGAACAGATTTTGGAAAGATTCACAGAGGTATTCTAAGGTTTAAAGGAGCTAATAGAGGTGAAAGTGTTTTTGAAAACCATTGAATATTTTGTGTATATAAACAAGGGTATGACGGAAATGGAAATATTGCTCAAAATGTCTCAGGTCAGGACCTCTACCCCTTAACACCCAAATTCTCCCCCTCCAAAAATAAAACCAAACCGTTTTCCAAATGGATTTTCTCTGTCTAGTTTTAAATCTTTTAATTGGGATATAAATTTTCAAACTTAGAACTTCATAGGCTTTACATGATTAATAAAATCTCAGGGCAATTTGCATTAGGAGTATGTGTGCTTATTCAATAATTAACAGCTTCCGCTTAGCCAGCTGCCACCACAGACACATTAGGTTAACTGCTTCCTGTCTGCTTCTCTTTTGCACTGGCTTCTGCTAGGCAGTGATTTCTGACTTCTGGGTGCGTAAAAGTACACACAGTGTGTGAGTAAGCTTATGCTGATGAGTGTGCCATTTTAGAATGCTTAAGAAGGAATTAATTTAAATTTAACCACTGCTAGCTGTTGCTTCCTTTCTTACTGCAAAATTGTTATGGTAACTTCAAAGAAGAAAAAGAGAAATCTTGTGGGCGAAACAGTAAAAATAGTGATCAGATGCAAGTCTAATATATTTGTTATAAACGGTCATGACACTTTGGTAAACATTTCCCAAATTCAACATTCCCCCAAATCTTTGGAATTCATTGGCTTCCCATTATGGAATGTAAATGCATAGGAAACAAAACTGCCTTTACATGTTGGTTTCTATTTTTACTTTTTATGCTCTGCTGTTTCTTAAATTCACATGTAGCTTAGTTATTAATAAAATAAAAGCCACCATTCTTAAAAGCTAACCAGAAATTATATTTCATATCATTCACAGTCTAATATTTTTATATTAACAATATTGATTTCATTTAGCTCAAAAGAATATACAAACCAAACTCAAACATAACATTCTTTCAAAAAGAGGATTTCTTAGAAAACTTAGGGAAATTGGTAATATAAGTATTTCTTTTTTTCAGTCTTTGATTGTTTGAAATACCACCCAGTTTAACATTTCTTCAGAAATAATCTACTCTTCAGCCAGATTGGGTCTACTTCTCTGTACCAACATCTGGCTCTCCATGTTGGGTACATTGATATAATCCAGGACTGCATGGGTCCTGGACATCCCATTTAATCCACGTCCTATGCCTGGCCCACCCTTCCCACTCATGGGAGTTCTATCTCCTTTCTCAGAAAGTTGTTCCACTGCAAGATCTCTGCATTCTCAAAGTTGTTTTAGGATATCCTGCAGAGAGCGGCATGAAAAGTAGAAAATGTCTAGATTTGAAGTCAGCAGACCGGAGTTCTAGCTGTGGCTTTGTCACTGAAAGCTGTCCTTACCCTGTGTCCTAACTTGTAAAAGTGCATGAGTAATGGCTGCCCTACTTACCACACAGGATCCTGCAAAGAATCAATACCCACTTCGTAAGTGAGAAAGCCCTACAGTGACACATCCTTGTGACAGGAGTTAGGATGAGATGTAGCCATTCATTTCTTCACTCTTACTATCAGTGTGAAAATTGAGAAAAGCTGTGCCTTGCACATCTTCTGTGCACCTTGATGTTTGGTTGATCAACTGTTTGATTATAGTCATTGACATTTTTGTCATGATCACTCCTCAGTCTCTAGGCAAGGGGTTCTTAAGAATAACTGGTCTACAGTATCATTATATCTATCATTGTTTTCTAAAGCCAAAGAAACATACAGTATTGAGACGATAATTTTGTTTTATAGCACATGATAAGCTCAGAAAATTCCAGGAGCTATAACTGGGTGTCAGAAGCTAGAATCTTACAAATGAAAGTTTATTAAGTGTAAGTCATCATTTCAGCAGCTCTTAATGAACTGGCATATATACTGAGGCAAATGACAGGTGTAACAGATTTTAGGTATCAGTAATTGCTGCTTACCATTGCAGACCCCACACGGCTGACTTTGATGGGATTCCCTCTTCCAGAGAGGTCCATTTGTGCTCTGTCCATCACATACAGGCAAGTGTCCAGGATGCCATCTTCAAACTATTTGGAGAAAGAAAAACAAAGAGAAACTAGTGTTCACTCTGCAAGCAAAATATTCTCTGATGAAAAATAACATGAAACCACAACCTAATGTTTAGAAATGTGTGTTTCCTGTATAGTGATCTCCCATAATCTTTAGTATGAAATATTAAAGTAGAAGGAATGAGACATCTTCTTTTGTTTTTCATTAAAGTGAATAAGAATATAAAAGCAAGCCAGAAACATAAACAGAAATACTAGAGAGTTGATATACTCAGGGATCATAAGCTGACTTGAAGTTCTTCAGAAAATGATTCAATTTAGAAGGTCTTTTCAACATATTGGCTCCTGTACCCAAGAAGAAGGAATGAATCATTTACCAAAGTCAGGCCAGAGTCTTAGGACCTCGAAAGTAATGTGAATCCTCGTGCATTTAGAAAATAAAGAGCTCTCAGGTGTATCACAGGAAGGTGCTTCACACTACTTAGTTTGCACCCAAAATAGTAGGAGACCTCATATAGTGACTGTCCCTCTAAGGTTTCCCCTCTTCTGAGACAAGGTGGACCCCAGGATCAAGGAGAGGGCAGAAGGCTGCAGAAAGTAGATTACACTATCAAGGGAGGAGTCTGGTACCAGTTCAGTCTTCTTAGAAAGAACTGCTAGCCACAGGCAATACCAGAATTTTCTTAAAAAGGAATAAAGATCAAATAGCAAGACAGGAAGATTTTACCTATACTGTACCTCACTGTAGTAAGAGATTTTCCTGAATAGAGAAACCTTGTGTGCTATCCACCCAAGTGCTTGTGACAGAAACCACAATCATAATGGCTAATTACCACACAATTCTTTATTCAGTCCAGTTAGAATACCCACTCTGGGTGTATCCCAAACTGACAGGATGGATGCAGTAATGGGTAATTGCACTAGTTCTTCAGGTATGCAAATAGCTCAGTATTTTGGTTCTTATTAAGCAGCTTCTCTCAGCTGTGTTTGCTGGGCAGGATAGCAACTAACTGGAGAGTTAAGGAAATAGTCATAGAACGGATTGATTCCCTGCATCACTGTAAACATGCTTGGCTGGTTATTCTGGCCAAAGGATACACACCAATAGCCTCTTTGAGTGGCAGAAGATACAATCAAGTGACTGTGCTCCAGGGTGCCTACCCAAAGGCAAGCTGGCGAAGAGTGCCCTGACTGGGCTTGGGACACTTTTCCAGACCTCCTTGCTGCCCACCTTGATGACTTTTCCCCTTGTTAGCTATCTATAGATTGTCATATTTGGGCCATAAATAGAATCACCAGGCTAAAGGCTAGAAATTGGGGACCCAAGACAAGGGCATCAGGCAGTAGGCAGTATAGTCAAAGGTTGCATGTCACTGAGGAGGGGATGGCTTGAAACCAGGGAGTCAGGCAGGAATCCAAGAACAGGGGGTGCCAACTAGCTTGTAGCTTGGCAGGACATTAGAAATGCAGGCGGGGAAGCCTGAGCACTGGGCATGTAATTCTCCGGAGTCAGGGAAGCTGTTCACAAAGCCAGGTAGGCAGGATAACACGGGTACTGGAGCAGTGGGTAAGGAACACAGGGAGATCCCATATGGAAGTCAAAGCAAGGCATCCGGAGCCAAGAAAGTACCCTGTGACCACCAGATTCCATGAAAACTCCCTGCTGGATGCCCAGCGCAATGATGCACAGTTCCAGCCATCCCAGCCAAAACTCCTGAGAAATGACATTCGCCCCCGCTTGTGTCGCTAATTAAAAATCATTTTGAAATCACAGGACATGCATTCATTTATGGAAAATTGGTAAAATATCATTCATTTGCTCCATTGTTAAAGATACCAAACTGAAATAGTTTGAATGACTGAACATCTTAAAGAAATGCCATTTGCTACTTTGTGTCTAGACAATCAACTTGCAGCTGATAAAATCTTTCTATGTAAAAGCTCAGTGGCCCTTCCTTTGATGAAATGATAACACTCTTTTCTAATTAGCAGTACCCTAGGCTAACACTTAAAAAAAAAAAAAAAGAAGCTATTTCTTTGAATTGGGCACACCCCTTGCAGTATTCTTTGCATCACTTTGAAAATACCTTTCTTTATAAGCCAGGTTGAACTAATGAGATTTCACTGTTCTAAGTGGCCAAAGCATTTCTCAATAGAATGCCACATTATTCATGGAATCTCTCATTTCTGTAACACTGTAATACCCAGAGATATGTGGTTTCAGCTGATAAATTACGCAGTTGTCTTTATGAGTCCCTACTCCTATGCTCTCTGCCTTGGAGTCTCAGATCCTAAAAAGCAGGAAATTGTGCTTGTCTAATATCGATATATGGGATCCTGTAGGGATACATGTGACAAAAAATATGAAGTAAAAATGTCCTTGACAATAACAAATTTTAAGTGGCTCACCTGACCATAGCTCCAGCTTCTGGTCTTGATGTCATTGACCTCTCCATAAAAAATTACCCCGATGTCATTCAGGACATACTCTTCTCTTTCTTTCTCATTGTCCAGATACACAGCATCATCTGCATCAGGGTTTAAACATAGTGACTATTACCAAACCAGACTGTTTCCAAACACTTGCAAGTTTATGCAAGTTTATTTTGTTTCTAAACTACATTTAATCAGCCAAATTTTTAAAAAATGCCCTTTGTTTCACCAAGCATAGCTCATTTCCCAATATTTTTAGTAATGGTGAACATAATCAGCACCAAATTCAGTCTGTAAATGATGACATTTGTTAGCAAAATGCTGACGAACTCTGGCTCTTTAAGTTCCAAGCAGCAGAATTAAATTGATATGTCTCATTAAACATTTTATGATTCTGTTGCATCAGTAGTTTCAGAATTCTATGATGCTGATGTACGTCTCTAACACTAATTAAAATATAATTTCCAACCTTTTAACATTAATAGAAAACTAGATGAATTGAAAATGACTTTTAAAACAAATCTGGGACACGTGAGAAGGCCCACGTGTCATGTCTGTTTTGTGGCCCATCACTGGCAGGAGGGAAGCAGTAGGTCATCTCCTTTTAATGAAAGATACTTGTGAATGTGCAAGTATGTGTGTGTGTCCAACCAGCTTCCCTGGCCAGTGTCTTTCATTGCAAGGACTTTTCTTCCCTGTGGCTAGAATTTCAGGAGGATCATCCTCCCCGTCTATCATCAGTCTGGTACTTATTCCCAGGCCTGGTGGGAGAGCAGCAAAGCATCTTTAACACAGACAGGACCCTACAAGTGTAAATCGCACTCAGGAAAATGTGTGTGTTTGGGACAGGCATCTAAGCGTTTTTACACGAATTCTACCTCAAGGTAACGAAATAATTGATTATAATAAATGCAAAAGGAATGGTAGAATTAGAATGTCACGATCTTGCAATCCCTAATGAAGTAACGAATTGAGGCAGAAATAATTCGTTAAGAAGAGAACTTCGTAACGGGTGGATGAGACTGATAAAACGTGAACCAGATACTATTGACAAACCTAAATATATGTATCTTCTGCCAGGATGAATGTCCTAGGAAGCAATGGCGTGACTTATGAAATATTTTTGCCCCTTCCTCCAAAAAAAAAATGCCACTTGGAGCTGAATCTGACAGAGTCTGTAGATCTAACCAGCTGCTTAACAGAAAATGCCACAGTGGTTAAAAAAAAATCCCACAGTGGTTAGAGAAAAATATTTCATGACACCGGGGGATGGAATCAGCAAAATTCAGAATATGGAAAGTTCTACATAAAAAATGACTCAGTTTCAGCCATAAGTTTGTGGCATGAAGAAACAGATGAAGAGGATTACTCTAGAGGAAAAGATTTAAGTGACATACCAACCAAATTTAATCTACAGACCTTAATCCAAATAAACTAACTAAAAAGATAATTTTTAGACATTGGGAAAATTAAAGATGGTTCATTAGATAATACCAAGGAGCTCTTGTTGATTTGTATTAGCTGCAATAATTATACACAAACACACATAAACACATACATACACACATATGTACATATGTATCTATGTATACTGTATATATGTCTATTTTTAAAAAGCTACACGCTAAAATATGTACAGGTAAAATAATATGATTACTAGAATTTACTTGAAAATGCTAAGGCAAAAAATAAGGAAAAAAGGGATAGATAAAGCAAATGTGGCAAAATCTTGATAACCATTAACTCTGAGAGTCATATAAGTAGATATTCATTGTGCTACTCTTTCTGCTTTTGAGTTTATCTGAAAATATTTATAAGAAAAATTAACTTTGTCAAAAGATATAAAACTGAAATACAAAATGAACACATACAAAATGTTTCCAATTGGATGTGAACATTCAGTAATGTAAAGATATAAATTCTACCCAAATTAGTCTATATGACCAATGTGAACCCAACCAAACTTCTACTCAGAAGTTTTGGAACTTTGCATGCTCATTCAAAAGCTTATCTGGAAAAAACAATGTGAAAGAAAACAGCCAGGCAGGGCGTGGTGGCTCATGCTTGTAATCCCAGCACTTTGGGAGGCTGAGGCAGGTGGATCACTTGAGGTCAGAAGTTTGAGACCAGCCTGGCCAATACAGTGAAACCCCATCTCTACTAAAAATAAAAATATAAGCCAGGCATGGTGGTGTGTGCCTGTAATCCTAGCTACTCGGGAGGCTGAGGCAGGAGAATCGCTTGAGCCCAGGAGGCCGAGATAGCACTACTGCACTCCAGGCTGGGCAACAGAGCTAGAATCTGTCCCAAAAAAAAAAAAAAAAAAAAAGAGAGAGAGAGAGAGAGAAAATAGCCAAAAACTAATATGTTGAAAAAGAAGAAAGATTGAAGGACTTGCCCAAAGGTAAATTAAACTTTGGACCCCAATTTATAGTTTCCTGCATCTATGCCCTTTGCCATGTAACTAGCAGTTCTTCCCTCTAAATGTGGAATATCCTCTCTTAACTTTAGGCTTATTTTGGCTAATGGGGTGTTAGCAGAAGCAATGTTAGCAGAAGCAAGTAGGGGTCTAAAATATGACTGCGCAGCTGAGCATGTGATCATACAAATCTGCTGTTACCCTGAGGAAAATATGACCCAGCAAGCCCACTGGTCAAAGAAGGATGAGAGGCACCAGAGCAGAGGGTCTCCGGAGCTCTCAGGGAGAGACGGATCCTCTCCAGCTGTTCCCACCGGAAGCAGAGCTGGCTAGTCAAGCCCAGTCTGGATGAGCCCAATCCCAGCCAAGCCCCAGATCCCTGAGTAAGTGCTTATTGTTGTATGCCACTAAGATTTTCTGGTTCTTTTTAATGTAGCATTAGTGTGATTATAGCTAACTGAAACAAAGCTACACTTAAAACTGACATTAGCACAGTAATGGACAAATATATGGAAGGAGCTAGATGTGTATTAAATCTTAGTAAATAATAAAGATGGCCCTTAAAATCAATAGGTAAAAATAGATCTGATCAATACGTGGTGTTTTGACAGCTGGTTATCTATGTAAGAAAAAAAGTGTCAGTAAGATCTCTTTATCCTACTATATACAAACTGTATCCATAGATTTAAGAGGCACATGTGTGTCTCTCCCTGACGATCTTTATTTCACCTGACATGTTCCAGATATAAGCAGGTAGAGAAACATAACGTTCAATAAATATATGAAAAAATGCTCAACTCCACTAACAATCAGAGACATAAAAACCAAATTAACCATGAAATACCAATGAAATACCATAATTCTCCTACCATATCGGCAAATATTAAAACAAATGATTAACCACCAGTGCCAATGAGGGTATGAAGAGATGGATACTCTCATCTACTATGGCTGTAGTGTAAAATACTGCAGCCTTTTAGAAGGGTAATTAGGCAATATCTATGCAAATTTAAAATGTGAATTCACTTTGCCCAATGCTATTTCTAGATGTCTATTCTACAGTAACATTTGTACAAAATGTATGTGCAACCTTCAAAATGGCATAACGTGCTATAGTAAAAATGGGAAACAATCCAAATAGTTGTAAACAAAACACCAAAACAACATGATATGACCATACCAAGCAGCCATTAAAAAGAAGATGCAGGTACTGATATAGAAAACGCTCCAAGATATACTGAGTGAGAAAATGAGGTACAGAGCAACAGGTTGACACAATCTCTTTTGTGGTTTTAAAAAACCTAAATTCTCTAGGTATATATATGCCATCAATACATAAAATGATAGCAAAGTATCTGTAATGATATACACAGTTAAAGTTGGTTTTCCCTGGGGATTCTCTAGGATTGGAAGATTGGTGAAAAGGAAAGTTTTCTTTTAGCCATGTAAATGTACATGTGTGTTTATTTGAAAAGAACAATATATTCAATTAATTGCCAATTAAAAATGAAAAGCACTGAAAATACTTTAAATGGATGACATTACAACAAAATGTTAATTGTTAGTGTCTCTAATTTGTAGATCTTTGAGCTCTTTTTATGCTTTTATTATTTTTTATTTCTATAATGAGACTTTTCCATCAGATAAAGTTATTTTCTAAAATGTGTTTCCATTTAAGTGAAGCTACCCATTTAAAAAGAGATTAACAAGTCCAACTTTTGTGCATTAGTTTTTCTTTAAGAGCAATATAGGGTTGTGCTCTTTTTTATTATCAGAGTCCTTCAACACAACTTTTTTCTCCTTCTTTAAGTCTCCCTGAACCCTTTCCTTTCCAGCACAGATTGAATTAAACCTTGTTCCCTTAGTGCCCTATGGAGGCGGGGGTAACATTTATCCCACTGTATGGACATTGCCGTTTAATGATTATATTTATTGAATAAGTATGTGTTTAAGTATTTACTTCTTAATTTTTTTTAAGTAGTAGCATGTAAATAAGCATTGTTATACTGCTTATTTATGGCCAGGAACTTTCTAAGTGCTTTATAACAAGACACATGAACTCATCAACACTCATAACATCCTTGTGAGGAAAGTAGCCCCATTTCACTGATGAGGAAACTGAGGCAGAGAGAAACATAACTTTTCCAAGGTCATGCAGCTAGTGAGTTGTGAAGCTAGGATTTGAATAAGCTGCCTTCTAAGTAGTCCATGGCTCTTGGGTCCAAAGGATCGGATGACTGCGTCCCCAGCCCCCAACACTGTGCCTTGGAACACGGTAGGAAATCAATCAATGTGTACTGAAAGAATGAGAGATGGGGAAGATGTCTGGAGCTTAGAGAGTAAGGAAGAAGTCCAAGAAAATGAAGGATTTACCTTTGGGCTTTGCGTTAGTATTGATGGGAAGTGATAAATTTAAGTGGCAAAGCATGATAGAGAGGAGTTCTGGAGCTCCAGACTAGGCCACCCTTTCCCTTCCAACACTTGAATTAAATCTCACCTCAAACAGGCAGACATTATCATGAATCCACAGTATGGCAAGGAAGTCAAATGGGAAGGCTCGATTTTAATTTTAAATTTATTTATGATTTTAAAAAGAAGATTGAGGGTGGAAAGCAGTGCTTTATTTCCCGTTTTTATTCAGATCTGTCACTTTAAAATATAGTTGTCCAAAGCAAGGTTAAAAAAAATTGTATCACGATGGAAACTCCAAAAAAACTCCCTATGTTTGGAAGGCTAACAAAAATAGAAAAATGTAATCATTTGCCCTTGGAGATTTTTGCTGTTGGCTTTTTGATAGTGTTTTCGTTTGTTTTTAAATTTTTGGTTAGCTTCAGAGCGGTGGGGTTTCACTAAGTTTCAGGGGAAGCTAGTTCTTCACTTAGTAAAATGGAAGGCTCGACTAATAGGAAAAACAAACTAACAAACAACTCACTATTCTAGAAACCCAACAATTTGGACTGGTAGAAGGTAGACGTGTATGAGGCTTGTGTGGAATGTGGGAGCTGGAAACTATACTTAACTGAGGACTGAGGGGAGAAATAAGGTCTAGACAGCTCCCAGAGTAGGAGCGGCTGCACCTTGGACCAACTGACAACTCTTTGATCGTAGGTGACCTCTGGCAGACAACCACCATTACGATAAAACTCTGAGAAAAACAGATTACACATGGCACCATTGGTGAGTGTGACACAGCACCTCCATCCACTGCCCAGAGCAACTCTGTCACCAGAACAGACCTTCAAAATGCCTCGTAAATAACCACCCTTGCAGGCTGACTAACAATTTACAAGAGGCATGTAGTGAAGAATAATGACCTCATTTATTTTACTGTTCCTCTGGTGGGAATGGAAGGGTAGTTAAAAAAGAAAAGAGTGGGCCAAGAAAATTTGGGGTGGATTTCAGTCACCCTCTGACATTCCCACTGTCCTCCCGACCCAGAGAAGGTAAGGATTTATAACAAACATGTAAAAACAAATGCTGAGCCTACTGATTTTAGTATCTGTATAACCTCTTTGTGAGAAGGAAGATCATTCATCATTGCATGGGCTGATACATTCCTTCTGCTTATTTACATGCTATTTCAAAGTCAGAGCAAGTTCCATTTCCTTGGTCATTAGGCTCAAGTCTGGCAAAGGGAGCCCAGGAATTAAACAAAACTATGGTGCTAGAACAGCTAACCTACATGGTCTCTTTCAACAGTTTAAACCAGAGTTTGGTGTTGTTTCTAATCCTTTAGAAGGAATAATGGTTTGGCCCTTCCAAAAGGCAAAATGAGTCACCATTTAGGGAAGGAAGGAATTTAGAGCGAGGGGATTAGGAATCACTTACACTTGCTTCCCCCTTTATATAAAAGCTGAGCACCACTAAAAAGAGGAAAGATTCATGCTGGGAGTGTGTAATCACTCTTAGAGGGAGTGGCTTGATCTGCAGAGCAAATGTGACTCCGGACTGGTGTCACCATGATATGTTTTTCCATCACAAAGTACATCAAAAGGGGTGGCAGATTCTAACAGGCTGTGTGTGCTGTGGCATACCAGGAGTAACTTCCTGTCGGTGGCAATTGTGAGCATATTAAGGAATGGCATTTTTAGAGTCTGAGCTTTTTATTCTGGAAGGATCCAAACGCACTGCCTTCCTAAAATGGTTTCATATAGCCACTCCAGAGACGTTGCTTGCCTATCTAGTAACACTGGAATGGAATCAATCTATGAAGCACAAGCAAATGGTTCCTCAATAGTCAGTTGAGTTTGCTTCTTTCCTTTTAGCCCCTTCAGTATAAAGTAGAGTAGTTCGCCAGGACTGGTATCCTCGAAATAACAATGACTAACACCGCTTCTCTTGGAGACCCTTGAGCCTAGACCAGAATTTGCACCCTCAGGCTACTGCCATTCATCCATCAATTCACAGATATTGATAGTATATCTCCCACAGTGCTCACGACAGCACAATCATCCGTGCGTGCATAGTACAACATAGTTTACATTCCTTACAAACATGCTGCATTACAGCTCACACCAGCTTGAGAAGGTTACTGGATTTGTGCTAATTTGCCTGTTTTGCTGGTTAAGGGCTTTTTAGTGTACTGAGATATCTTCAGAAGATAGACTATTATTCATGAAGCAATTCTACAAAGAAAATGTCAGAGCTTCTTTACTTAGCACATATCCTCTAAGGGAGCCTGTGCCCTTGTTGGTATGCTTTAATTTTTTTTCCCAGAGAAAGCTTTCATTTGATCTTGTAAATATCAACCTGAATTTATTTATTTATTTATGTATTTATTTATTATGGCAGAAATTTCCACGTTGATTAGGTCATTACAGAATCTTCTCGGCTGGCCATCTATTGGTTTTTTTTCTTTTGTTACACAATGCCAGATACTGATGGCTTTTGTTTTAAAAATATAAGTGCTTACCTTGACAGAGTCAGGATGCTCCAGGGTTAGCCTCAGTTTGTTTCTTAATTTTCTATAGGACTTTGAGAAATGCACGTAACATCACAGAACCTGCTTTCTCTCTTGAAATCTGAGTCTAATAATCGTCTCCTTGCCTCTCAGAATGGTGATTATCAGTTCAGTTCAGCAAACATTTACTGAACATTGACTCAATTCCAGGCACCACGAAAGGCTGAATGAGATAAGGATTACACCTTCCAAACACACAATCTAGGGAGATACTGACTATGAGCACACTTTGAAGCATATAAGAGACTCTACAAGGAAGGAATTGTAAACCACATGAATTGGTGGGTGAATGTGTCTCTGCATTAGACACTTCCAACCATGCTCTTTCTAGAAACACCTTGTAAAGACCTTTGCACCTCAATCCTGGGGTCACCTACATGCCATTGAAAAGAAGGTTTACTGTGAGCTCTCTGGGATCCTTTCTGATTACAGGGCCACACTAAATGATCCTCGCTTGGCATAAAAAGCATAATAAGTCTCTAATGACTCAGATACTAGGAAGAATGATGCATACTATTTTATTTAAGAGGAATATTGAGTAAATAAAGGTTAAAATTTTTCCATAAGCTTTATTAAAACTTCATAAAAATTCAATTAACCAACTATTTGATTACTATCCTATGCAAATACTGTTCTGGGTGCTAGCCAAGGTGCAAAGCTAAGCCACTGGCCAGTCTCTCCTCGTTCCCCAAATAGGTCGGAGTCCCCAGTTTTGTGTTCTTCTTGTGCACTGACTTATTTTAGTACTTTTTACAATTGTAATCAGTTTTTTATTAGGAGCTCATTTGTAAAATCCTTGCTAGAAGCTATACGAAGATTGTGTCTGCCTTTTTCACTGCCATAGTCCCAGTACCTAATTCAGTATTGACTTTGAATTTTTCTGAATGAATACATAATACTGTCGTACTGTGCACAGGTCATTGTGTTGTCATGGGCATGGGATGCGACATACTATCAATATTTGTGGATTGATGGATGAATGGCTCTAGCCTGAGGGCGTAAATGCTGGTCTGGGCTCAAGAGTCTCCAAGAGAAGGAATGTGGGTCATTGTTACTCTGAGGACACCAGTCTTGGTTACTTACTCCATTCTGTATGAAAGGGGCTAAAAAGACCTTATATAAATACAAAGCAAATTGGCTAAGGATGAATTTAATGATAAAATACAAGCAGGTCATATTTATTTATTTGCTGTTAAAAGCATCCAAGATATTGGGAACATATTGATTTCTTCATATTAAATTAAATTGATTTATTTGTTTAAAGAAAAGTGAAAAAACACATTGAATAAAAAGGAAATATTAGATGCTAATTTGGTGTCAGATGCTAAGAGATAGAGAAATCCACACACACATCACCCACAGACACACTCCTCCCAGCACACCAGATATGTTTTTGACTTTTCTCAAGATGGTAAGGTCTGAGATTACATTTACAAGTTATCTGTAATGACAGGGTGCGGCGAACCTAGAGTATTTACTTGGGATTATTAAATCAACACAGCAAACATTTATTAAACCTCAAGTGTGCCAGAGGCTAAGGATATGAGGTCGAATGAGGTGAGGGAAAAGCAGTGATGGAGAATGGAATGGGGGAACAACTTATCAAGAGGAGAAAGATCCCTTAAAGGTAACTGATGCCCAATCAAAAATACTGCTCACTGCTTCTCCAGAGTACTAGGCACAGATATCAGAAATCTAAATCTTTCAGGACCCACTATCTGGCACTAGTGCTAGACTACCAAACTGGAACATTCTATATTTAAATAGTGAAATACATTCAATAGTTCAGAGTTCCTGAGTAGTTAGAAAAACATGATGAATTCATAATAACTGCCCGTCTCACTCCTGCTGCCTTTGTGGGTACAGTTCTCTCTAACACCCAGGAGAAGGGTTTCCTCCCAGAATGGACCCGAAGCCCGGTTAGCACCACTAAACTAAAAACTAAGCAAGCAATTATTCTCCCCGCATGCACCCCTGCCTTCACTGATGTGGCATTGCTATTGATCCCCATTAATGATTTAGTGATTAAGGAGGATAAATTGCCTATGAATGCAAAGCAGGCTGAAGGGCCCTCAGGAGCACAGCTGAGCATTCTCCTATCAATAAGTGCTGTGCATGCTGCTGTAATTTTCAGCCCAGCATCCTGTGCCACCTCGGGCCACAATCTTGTTCACCTGGCTGTCTTTTGACAATTTCTGGAAACAGTTTTCCTTCTTATCTTCTGCTATCTTTTTCACTTGGGCGACAGTCTCACCCCTCTCTTTTGACCTACTTTCCAGTTACCAGGCCATAGCGCTGAATCCTTTGTTATGCATTAACACACACACAAGCATAAAACTGCAGGGGACTGCTGGGCTACAGTGTATGTGCTTGTGTGTGTGTTGGGGGGAGCGGTTCATCATATCATCCCCTTTTTGGGTTATGCTTTGCGTGCTAGGCCGGGAAACCACACAATAAGTGGGGAGATGAACTCTTTCTCTCACTTCATTTAAAAAAATGGTGTTCAGGGCCCAAAAGCATGGTTGTTGGAAGAGATCAAGCAACAAAAATAATAAAGCTCACTGGATCCCTCTGCATTAAGGAAGGAGAATTTGCTCCTGGGACAGAATGGGAGAGAAAAGTTCAGAGAATAAAGGAGAACAGTAGGAGAGAGAGAAGGGGTGGTAAGGGAGAGAGACTGGAATTAGGTTCAGGGTAGAGCCAGTGAAATTTTAAGAAGAGTAAATTATAATCTCCTGAGGTTTTTTGTTTGTTTGTTTTGTTTTTGTTTTTTGAGATGGAGTCTCACTCTGTGGCCCAGGCTGGAGTGCAGTGGTACGATCTCGGCTCACTGCAACCTCCGCCTCCCAGGTTCAAGCAGTTCTCCTGCCTCAGCCTCCTGAGTAGCTGAGATTACAGGCACACACCACCATGCCCAGCTAATTTTTGTATGTTTAGTAGAGATGGGGTTTCACCATGTTGATCAGGCTGATCTTGAACTCCTGACCTCATGATCTGCCTGCCTTGGTCTCCCGAAGTGCTGGGATTACAGGCGTGAGCCACTGGGCCCGGCCCTGCCTCTTGAGTTTTAAAGTTATTGCTTATTGTCTTTCTTTCTTCTTAGAGACAGGCTGGCGGGGCTGCCTCGAACTCCTGGGCCCAAGCAATCCTCCTGCCTCAGCTTCCCAAGTAGCTGGGACCGCAGGCTGCTCTGGGGGCCATGCCCAGCTTTATTGTTTCGTGATTATTATGAAACCAGTGGTCCGCTAAGTGTTGACCCCGACCAGCAGCAACAGCATCTCCCAGGAACTGGTTAGAAATGCAAATTCTCAGGCCAGGCCTCAGACCTACTCAACCTGAGGGTGCTGCACAGAAGTGGCTGAACAAGCCCTCCAGGTGATTCTGATGTGTTCCAAGCGTGGTGACCCTCCAGGTGATTCTGATGTGCTCCAAGCGTGGTGACCCTCCAGGTGATTCTGATGTGCTCCAAGCGTGGTGACCCTCCAGGTGATTCTGATGTGCTCCAAGCGTGGTGACCCTCCAGGTGATTCTGATGTGCTCCAAGCGTGGTGACCCTCCAGGTGATTCTGATGTGCTCCAAGCGTGGTGACCCTCCAGGTGATTCTGATGTGCTCCAAGCGTGGTGACCCTCCAGGTGATTCTGATGTGCTCCAAGCGTGGTGACCCTCCAGGTGATTCTGATGTGCTCCAAGCGTGGTGACCCTCCAGGTGATTCTGATGTGCTCCAAGCGTGGTGACCCTCCAGGTGATTCTGATGTGCTCCAAGCGTGGTGACCCTCCAGGTGATTCTGATGTGCTCCAAGCGTGGTGACCCTCCAGGTGATTCTGATGTGCTCCAAGCGTGGTGACCCTCCAGGTGATTCTGATGTGCTCCAAGCGTGGTGACCCTCCAGGTGATTCTGATGTGCTCCAAGCGTGGTGACCCTCCAGGTGATTCTGATGTGCTCCAAGCGTGGTGACCCTCCAGGTGATTCTGATGTGCTCCAAGCGTGGTGACCCTCCAGGTGATTCTGATGTGCTCCAAGCGTGGTGACCCTCCAGGTGATTCTGATGTGCTCCAAGCGTGGTGACCACAGAGTGCATCCTTCCTGCTCTCACCCTCCATCCCAAACTGCAGTTAAGGTCTGGGCATTCACAGATGTTGTGTGTGGCTGCTTTTGTTGTTGTTGCCAACATTGAAATTGAAGGTGACGGTCAAGTTTCTCACTTGCAGCAGCACAAGTGTGAGTAGGACTCCTAGAGGCAGAGGCAGCCATGAAGTCAGAAATCCCTAAAGAATTTGCAGAGATGTTTGGGCCTCCACAGGCCAAGTAATGAAGAAGATTGTGCTAGTTTGCCCTGTGTTCTGGAAGCAGGGAGCACCCTCCCGGCATGTCCCTGTAATAAGTTCACCTTCTACCCTCCAGATGACTAGCTCACATCTTCCCTATCAAGCGTTTCATGCCCTTCCTTGCTGCTGCTTCTCAACACATGACTTTGCTTTACACTTCACTGACAAAAAAAAAAAAAAAGGAGTCACAAAATGGCAATCACCTCATTCTTCTTCCATTAAACTGGAAAATCTGCACCCCTCTTCTTCTACTCTACTCCTGTCTCTGGAGAGAGTAGATAGCCCCACCCATCACAGGCCCTTCTTCACCTGTTCCCTGGATTCCAACCACTCAAGGATTTCACTCCTGAAACTTCTCAACCTTAGCTCCAAGAATCACCTGCAGAACTTTAAAAAACCCCAAAGCCCAGGCTGCAGTCCAGAGCAATTACATCAGAATGCCTGCATGGGGGACTGAAGCATCCATAGTTTCAAAGCTTCCCAGATGATTGCAACGTGCAGCCAAGGCTGTGAACCACCGTCCTCTCTCTGGACTGCAAACTCTCTTTCCTGGTTCCTCTCCGTCACCATAAAATAACACCCACTCTCTCTTGTCTTTAAAAAATTCTCCTTTGACCTTCGCTTCAACATCTAGGTGCTACAGAAAGTCTTGAGAAAGGTGCCATCTCCCGCCGTCTCTACTTTCTCGCCTCCTGTTTACAACACAGCCCATGACCATCTCCCTGGCTTCTGTCTCTATCACTTTAGTGAAACCGTCCTTTTCAAGATCATCGAAGACATCCATATTTCCACACTATATGGCCACTTTCCTCCCCTATCCTATTCAACTAATCATAGCATTAAACAGAGTTGACTGCTGTCTTGAATCTATCAATGTGTCTGGCTCTGGGCTCTTTTGATCTCCTTGCGCTCCACTGACTGCTCCTGCTCAGCCTCCTTTGTTGACTTCTCCTTTGTCTCAACTCTTAATTGTTAATGACCCTGAATCATTTGTGTCCGTTATTGCTCCTAACCGTGCCCATGTTTACATGTCTAGCTCAGCCATCTCCTTTGAGTTCTAGATTCACTTTATTCAAGTGCTTACTTGACGTTTTCATTTGCATGTCTCATAGACATCACCAAATTAACATTTCTGAATGTAACTCTTAGCTTCACCCCCAGTGCTTCCCCTCCACTTCCCACAGTTTTCCCAGCTCTGAAAATGGCACCGCCATCAACCCAATTGGTCTAACAAGAAATCTAGAGTTATTCTTGAGTCCTCCCATTTCTTTACTTCTCATCTTGAATCCCTGTGCAATTTTTGTTCTAAATACAAAATAGATCTCCAATCTAACCCCTTCTCATCTCCACTGGTACCACCATGTTTAGTTTATCATCATCTTTGTCCTAGACCACAGCTTCCAAATTGGTCTCTGGTTTTTGTCCCACCTTCCTCCAATCCTTTCCATGAACTGAAAACCTAGGGGAGGTCCCTGTACAGCCTCTAGAACAAGAACGCCTCCAGACCTAAGTGACTTTTTCAGAACAGAGGTATCTGGAAGCTGCTCATCATGGATACAACTGAAGATCAAGGCAGCAATTAGAAGGTTATTAGATTGTCCACCTCCTGAGTAGTTATCCTGAAAGTTAATATGTCAAGCAACTTAACTAACCCTTTTCCCGTCAAGAAGAGTGGTCACATAAGTTGAAATGAATGCAGACACATATCCCATTTACACACATGATATAATCCAGAAAAGTTGCAAACAAACCAAAGTCTGGGTAAATTATAGCATTCCTGAAATTTCCTAGAGTTCTGAACAGTTATATGTAGCCTAGGATTTTCTTTTTGTAATAAAAAGAAAGTCAATAACAAACTCTTGATTGATAAGTATGAATTTTTAAATACAATTTTCTTAGAATAGGTTGCTTCCTACATACTCTTCCATCTCATTCTCTTTTGCTGACTCCTTCTCTACTGGACTCCTAAATGATGGTGTTCCTGAAGGCTAGATACTATATCCTATTTCCTTCTTTATCTATATTTTCTCCCTAGGTACAGATAACTCCCAAATATATATCTCTGATTTTCTTCTCCAGATTCACATACCTATTTGTCATTTCTGCTGTCTATCTATGGTTATCTCCAACTTAACATATTCAAAATCTTAATTTATATATCTGTAACTCTGATCCTCTCAGTATTTTTCATCTCTGTAAATATCACCCCATCAACCAGTTGCAAATGCCTCACATCTGGTTTTAAGATTACTATCAAGAGTTCATTTTTTGAACTGCACATGGCCCAGTTAACATTTCCTGTTACCATTTACCTTGAATATCTGTCTCATAGATAGGAGTGTTGGGTACAATATGATGAGGATGGATGTATAGGGAGTGTAGGAATAGCTTGGCGCCTTTTGCCAACACTAGTGGAACAGGTAATTCCCAAGCCATGCTGGGCATGGTGGTTCATGACTGTAATCCCAACACTTTGGGAGGCTCAGGCAGGAGCACTGCTTGAGCCCAAGAGTTCGAGACCAGCCTGGACAACATAGTGACACCACGTCTCTACAAAAAGTAAATAAATATAAATATAAAACAAAGAAAAGATCAGTAGGACCAAGGTGTATGTTCTAGATGAGTAGCAAATATTGTTGTGCACTTATCTATATCTAGGACAGATTAACCCTGATTCAAATGTGACTTTCACATACAAGGATCATTCAAAATCAGCAATAATATGGGCTCATTTTGGATGATGTTAGAGAGCAGTGCATATGGGGTAGGGTGCCATGGGAAGTCTCCTGCCCCATGTGAGCTTTCATATCTTTCACTGCCTTATTTCCTAGGACCTAGAAGTGGTCTCTCCCACATTGATGCTGCTGCAACATCTGCATCTGCCTCTGGAACTTAAAACAGCTTCGTACAAAGTGTGGGAGCAGGGGAGAGGTATGAAAGGGCAGAGATGAAGATGAGGAGAAAATGCTATGTGTGACTGAGGCACAAAACAGAATTGATAGAGAAATCATTGAACTTGACTGAGTTTTATTTGAATATAACTAGATTAAGCTTCTGCCGCAGACAGAAAGGAAGACTGAAAATAGCACTAGAGATCAAGTTATATTATATTAAAGTACAGCTACATCTTTGCACATCCAGAGTTATGGTTTGCAAAATTTGCACCCACTATGCACATAAACAACTTTGTGGAATCCTTTAGATATACAGACTTTCTGTTCTTAAAGTAGGGGGATAGAGAGGTTAGTTCTACTATGAACAGCGTCGACTTTATTTTATTTTTCTGAAGTCAGAGTTATAGACTCTAATAGTTTTGATAATCAAGCTTAATAAGCCCAATTTGTTTACAGAGTAATAGTGTACAGAGGTTATACTGTCAACATATATTAGGTTGGTGAGGTTGGTGCAAAAGTAATTGTGATTTTTGCAATTACTTTTAATTACAAAACTGCAATTAATAGCTCCACAAATAACTAACTGCAACTTTAGACAATCTCCAATTAATCCCGAAATAAATGTATAGCAGCATTGACTTCACATATAGAGGTTTTATCTTCATACACATGGAGGATGAATTTTCTATCTTTCTCTTTCAATCATTAAAGATGGTATATGTAGGAGAGGCATATGTATTTAGAATAATCTTACTACCCCTTCAAAAAGAGATGTATTGGAAATACATGAGCTTGTTTTTTTTCTTTTTTCAAAGACGGAGTCTTGCTCTGTTGCCCAGGCTGGAGTACAGTGGCACAATCATTGCTCACTGTAACCTCCAACTCCCGAACTCAAGCAATTCTCCCACTTCAGCCTCCCAAGTAGCTGGGAGTACAGGTGTGCACCACCACACCCATCTAATTTTTAATTTTTATTTTTTAGAGACTAGGTCTCAAACTCCTGGCCTCAAGCGATCCTCCCATCTTGGCCTCCCAAAGAGCTGGGAGTATAGGCATGTGCCATGGCACCCCGCCAAATAGGTGAATTTTTAAATGAGAAAACTAAATGTCTGCCTCTTACCTTCACACCAAGGATTGAAGAGAATGTACGTGTCTGTTTCTGGGTTTCGACTGGTTCGAAGTACGCCATAGGGAGTCCAGACAGCAACATACATGCGGAATTTCCCCACAATACATTTGGGGGAAGACTGGATGGACAGCCGCACAGACCTGTCCTCTCTCATGACAATCTTGGCCCCCCACTTTCCACTTTGTAACTCTGAGACTATAGGCACTGGGATGTAGGTTCCCTTGTTCTCCTGTGGGTAGCGACCTATGAGAAGAGAGAAGAAATACTCTGTTAGGTTGATTTCACAAGCCATTTTTGTTCTCACTCTGTTATCTTATAGCTGAAGGGACAGGAGTAATCCATTAGAATTATTCTTGACTTGAAGAAACATACAAATCAGGCAAGTCTGCAAATTACTTTGATTGTAAGCAGGAGAACCTTCAAGAGCAAAACTTATTCACTTCATTTGTTTTCTATAAAGCATGTAGAGGATTCCACATTAAGACAAGCAAACAGTGCTCCATTGTAACCTCCCTAATTACTAATTTCAAAGATCTTTAAAAGAGTCTTTGGTAGGCATATTGTCAGAGAGAGAACATTCTAAGGAGGTGGTTACATAAGTTACTGCTGTGCAATTCTGTGAGGATGCTTAATCTTAATGAAAATAATAATTTACACAGTGCAAACCACTGAGAAAGATTAGAACTTCAACACTTTGCTATTAGGGATATAGGTTATACCACTCAGAATGAATATCACATATACTTGTAAATCCAGCACAAATTTAAACATTGTTTTCTGCCTAGGTGCCATGGCATCTAAGTAATGCTCTTGAAGACTCATGGGACTCACCCTCTCAGGAGCCCCTCCATAAACCCACCTGCATAAGCATGTTTGTTCCAGAGGCACCCATCTCCTGTTTCTGCTCCCTCTTCGTGCATACTCAATCTTGGGATGAGCTTGCCCTTTTTACCAGAGGCTTTGTTTTTCTCTGGAACCCCTTTCACTGTTGACGTGTAGACATCAAAGGCAATCTTGCCAGGTAAATGGGACCCATAATTCATTTATTACAGTGGTTCCCAGCAGCTGTTGTCACTAAATACTGATTTAGATTCAGAATACGTCGTATTTAAAAAGATGCAAGTTTAGTAAAAATAAACTTAGAGATAAAAATCTACGTGTTAATGATAGATTTAAAAAAAAATAAGGGATGAAAGGAATTTTAAAGCTAATTATGTAAGGATGCACTTTGGGGAATAGCAAAAAACTAGAGAAGTACATCTGAAAGCACTCTTTGTACCTGTTATGTGCTCAACCTCAGCTTCACCTTTGTGCTAACTTCCACTTTTGTTTTAAAAGCTTCACCTTTGTACTAACTTCTACTTTTGTTGGGAACATGGAAAGAATGAAGACAATCACTAGTTTCCACTGTTACACTTTAAATTAAGACTTCAAAGACTCATATTGAATTTCACCTATCAAATCCAAGTTATACAAAAATAGTAAAGCAAAAGGAAAGCTATGCTTTTTCATGCTGACTTTGAATCCAGTCATAACCTAATTTAAAGACTACTTCTGACATTTTTCATTCATATATTGATATTGCCTACTATGTGCTAGACATTATCCTAAGTGCTAAGGATACAACAGTGAAGAAAACAGACAATAACTTCTGTGCTCATAGAGCTGATATTCCACAGAAAAAGCCAAAGCATGTGGCTTACCATGTTCTTATTACCCCTTTATTCCCTATAACAAAAGATGAGAAGGAAACCATTATCATCATCCTAATTTGACAAATCAGGAAACTAAGAGTCATTAAGCAACTTACCTAGGGTGATACAACTAGCAAATAGTGGAGTTCAGATTTGAACCCAGACCATCTGGTTTGAGAGTCGGCCTGTTCTAAGCTCTATGGCAGCTGTGTGAGTTGAAAATGTTTTGGAGTTGATGAGAACCATGTCAAATTCTGACTCCACTATTAACTACTGGTGCAACTTCAGGCAAATCACTTACTTGTCTTAGCTTCCATTTTCTTGATTCTTTGCAGTTTAGTTTGGGAAATAAAAAGACAATAGATTTTATAATATAATGAAAGCTTTATGCTTAGCACACAGTAGGGGCTGGCTGAGGGGGCACTCATTTTTTTTTTTTTTTTTTGAGAAGGACTTTCACTCTTGCCACCCAGGCTGGAGTGCAGTGGCATAGTCTCAGCTCACTGCAACCTCTGCCTCCTGGGTTCAAGCAATTTTCCTGCCTCAGCCTCCCAAGTAGCTGGGATTACAGGCACCCACCACCATGCCTGGCTAACTTTTTGTATTTTTAGTAGAGACAAGTTTTTGCCATGTAGGGCAGGCTGGTCTCAAACTCCTGACCTCAGGTGTTCCCCCCCGCCTCAGCCTCCCAAAGTACTGGGATTACAGGTGTGAGCCACCATGCCTGGCAAATTGTTTTTTTTTTTTAAGTATAACTTCTACTAGAAAGTAAAGGCAGAAGGAAGAAGGGGTGATTTCTTTTTTGCTCTCTGGTTCTGAATCTGAAGAAAGGTGAATGTCCCAAGGAAAGTACGTTACTTGTGTTGATTGAGATATTGTGGCTAAGGGGAAAGCAATTCAGCTGGCTCTAACACTTCTGTGTGATCTCGGGCAAAGCACTCATCCCCTGTCAACTAAAACTTTGCTTCTTCTACAAAATGGAGATCATGGTGGTCATAGTTTGTGATGGGGAGGGCAGCTTAATAATTGGTAGTTATCATTACTTCCCTGTTGTCCTGGGCTTTCTGATTCCTCTAAGTGATCCTTCTCTGCTCCATCTGTGGGAAATTAGGATGGGTTTACCAATTGCCAACAAACCTATCAAAGCCCAAATCTATTTCAAAGGCCAATTCATCCCAAACTAAAAAACCTTGAGCTGACTGATTTTTCCATCAGGAGAACTTGTAGAAGTAAAAAAAGAAAAAAAAAAGGGTTGCCATTTATTAGTAACCAAAAGCCTTAATAATTCCAGAATCATCATGGAGTCACCTGAAACCTCCCATTCAATCATAATTTCTGATTTTCTGAGTTGTTAATGATCAATGTAATCTCCATTCATCCTTTAGAGCAATGGTTAGAAAACTATAGTCTGCGGGCCAAATGTAGCTTACCTACTGTTTTTTTTTTTGTTTGTTTTATTTTGTTTTGTTTTGAGATGGAGTCTTGCACTGTTGCCCAGGCTGGAGTGCAGTGGTGCAATCTTGGCTCACTGCAAGCTCTGCCTCCTGGGTTCATGCCATTCTCCTGCCTCAGCCTCCCTAGTAGCTGGGATTACAGGCGCCCACCATCACGCCCGGCTAATTTTTGTATTTTTAGTAGAGACGGGGTTTCACCTTGTTAGCCAGGATGGTCTTGATCTCCTGACCTCATGATCTGCCCGCCTAGGCCTCCCAAAGTGCTGGGATTACAGGCATGAGCCACTGCGCCCAGCCTACCTACTGTTTATATAAAGTTTAATTGGAACACAGTTATGTTGATTTGCTTGTGTATTATTGTGCTACAATACAACCCTACTCTTGTAAGAGCAGAGTTGAGTAGTTGTGACAGAGTCCCTATGGTCTGCAACGCCTAACACAGTAGCTGGCCCTTACAGTAAACAATTGCCAACATCTGCCTTAGAGGATTTCACATTTTATTTATTTAAGGAGCGATTTATTACAGACTCTTGAAGTCTAACACTTGAGCCTAAGAAGAAAATACCATCACCTAGCTTCTCCTTCCAAGGAGAAATATGTTTCTAAACTATTCGCAAACATCTGTACTACTAGTAGGTCAACCTTTAGTTTCCTTAAAGTCGCCTAAATTCCCCACAGTCTCAGGGGGTGTTGAAAACATAGGAAGTTTGTAGCTTTTTATTGATTTTATGATTCATGGCTAAAATATTCAATTTTAAGATTGCAAAAGTTGTTTAGAGTTGCCAAGGCAGTTCACATAGTGATGCAAATAAAGTGACAGGAAATAAGTTTTATTTCTTGGGGTCCTTACAAAACCTCTGTGAGGAAATTTTTACAGATGGGAAACTGAGGCTTGGTGAGGGCGTCATGTGTGCACATCACATAGCTAGGCAGAAGTGGAGACAGAACTGGGGACAGGGAAGCCTGTTCTCTTTGCTCCATGTCATGCTTCCTCTGTGGAGGAAGGTGGAGAATGGCAAAAGGGATCTAGGGAGATGAAAGGAGACAAGAGAAGAATAAAACTGGAAAGTCCAAAGGAATATGAGGAAAAGGGACATTGAGAAAATATGCTGCCGTGGATAAGAGTTGTGTGAGCCAGAAATGTGGATCAAAGGAGGTAACAACTGAGTGAGTGAAGAGAAGGAAGACCAGGTGGAGAGAACCTGCATGAGGGTCTCTCTGGGCCAACTCATTTTTTTGTGATTTGCATTGGGAAGACTTCCAAAGTAATGTCAGACACCAAAGGGTGAAGGCTGAGCAATCCTGCTGATACGCTGATGCCACGTGGCCCGGGAACAGGTTATGGAAGCGTTATCAGGGACAGGGAGTGGTGAGATTAATTCCAAAGGAAGGAAAAAGAATCCTGATTGGCAGGCTTTTCATATTCCTGTATGGGAAAGCTGGTTAGGAATGTGGAACCTGATGTGCCAATAGAACCTCAGGGACTGCTCTATTACACCCATGTTTAATTCTGAATGTAATGATTTCAGTGACAGCACTGGGGAAGTACTCTCCATGATTGAATTGTGAGTGAGGAAGTTGTGACAGAGTAGTATTTCATTTCACTAAATAGCCCTTCTCAGCCCCAGGAGTCGGCATGGTTACGAGACCACAATCCAGCTACCCTGGGAAAACCCATCCATCAACATCCATGACTGCCCATCAGCTATCCTTGGCCCAATCTGGATGGAAAACATGGCTCCATACAGGGAACCTCCATGCACGTGTTTGCCTAGAGTATATAATGCCTGGATAGATGTGTTTTTCTCCCCCAAATCATGCAACTTTGCGTTAAAAACATCAGGGCAAGAAAAAGACATCGGGAAAGACAGCATCCAAGAAAGGAATCCCGTTTTGTTTTTAATAATTGCAGCCTTTGAAATTGGACTACTAAACATGAGGAAATATTATAATTACCAATTGCATTTTTTCACACTTATCAAAAACTAGTGCCATCTTCCCAAGTGATCTAGAAATTAACATATGCTCTTAGTTTCAGTGCTTGCTTCCATTTGTGAATTATTATTGAGGCCACAAAACTAATGTTTTTAAGGCAAAAGCCGCTTGGACCATATGCCTATATTCGAATGTCTCATTGTCCCTTTACTGAGGGCCTCACTCTCCTTACACAGACCTACCTTAATCCCCCCAGCTGGGATGTAGGAGGAAGAAGATGAAAATCTTTAATTCCATTTGTGATGTTACTCTTTTCCAACCTTAGCTACCTAGGCTTGATTGAGCTTTGTGCACAGTTTCTTGATATTAGTATTCTTCACAAGATAGGAAAGAGAAATCTAGCCACAGCTCAAATTCAGTGCTATGTGACCCTGGGGAAAATGTCCTCTCAACCTTTCAATGCATTCCACAG